>NC_000015.10:90683702-90835217 GCF_000001405.40 Homo sapiens
CCAGCCTGACCAACACGGTGAAACCCTGTCTCTACTAAAAATACAAAATTAGCCAGGCGTGGTGGCACATGCCTGTAATCCCAGCTACTCAGGAGGCTGAGGCAGAAGAATCGCTTGAATCCAAGAGGCAGATGTTGCAGTGAGCTGAGATCATGCCACTGCACTCCAGCCTGGGTGACAAGAGCAAAACTCTGTCTCAAAAATAAAATAATAATAAAAATAATAAAAAATTAAAAAAATAAAAAATAAACCTGCTTCCTAGTCTCTGGCTCCTCTCTCTCGGCCTGTCCAACCGCTTTATAAGTTGGATGTGGGTGGTCAATACAGTGACTCAGAACTACCAGTTCTCAGACATTTCCCTCCCAGCCCTGCATAGGTGGTCTAGCATCCCATGCTGGGATTGGGAGGGGCTGCCCTGCCTGTCTGGGGCCTCAGCCAAGCCTGAGGCAGAAGGAGCCTGCTAACTACCATCCAGGTGCTCATTCGAGGCCCCTCTTCTCCTCGCCTCAGGATTCTTTCCCATTCCTATTTACTCAACCTCTCCCTCCTAACTAGAACCTGCCCACTGACATTTAGACATATTTAAATCTCTCCTGAAATTAAAAAAACAAACAAAAAACTGCTTTGAAAACCCCAAATCTCCTTGCAGCTACCTCCTAATTCTCTCCTCCCTTTCAAAGCCAAACTTGTGAAAAAGCTGTCTGCATCCACAATCTCCCTTTCCTCACCTCCCACGCATTCCAGTCTGGCTTCCCCCCTCATCAGTCCCCAGAAGCATCTCTCCCTAAGATGGTCAGCGATGCTCAGACCGCCAGGCTGAGCCTGGAGAGCAGTAAGCTGGCCTGGCCCGGGCAGGACCTTGGCCATGGGAGCAGCAGTAGGGTACACAGTGGTTGGTGTTACCCAGGGTTGTCAATGTCAACTGCAGACGATAAACTAGAACTTCTGTGCAGTTCCAGAAAGAATATCTGGCCTTGAGTCCTGAGGCTATGCCAACACCTACTTACCTTCATTGATTCATTCATCCATTCAATAACTCTTTACTGAGCACACTTGGGCCAGACCCTGAGGTAGGCACCTGTTATAAACTTGGTCTCTACCCTCATGGAGCTAACTGCCTGGGCATTGGTCAGAGTCATGAAAATACACAAAGACGACCGAGATGCTTGATGGAGAAGTACAGAGTGTATTACTGTGGGATCAGATCTAGCCTGAAAGGTCAAGAAGAGATTTTCAGGCTGGGATCTGACCAATGAGTAGGAATTAGCTAGTCCGGGAGGAATGGGGAGAAAGAGATGATAGAAGACTGGGGGAAAGGTGTCTCTTGGGGACAAAGAAGCCAGGGATTCCAGAATTGAAAAGGACCAGGAGGAAGCAAGTAGGGAGGGGTGGGGAGAGCTGGACAGAAATTATTTTTCTCTTCTTTTTGAGATGGAGTCTTGCTCTGTCACCCCGGCTGGAGCGCAGTGGCACAATCTACACTCACTGCAACCTCCACGTCTGGGGTTCAAGCAATCCTCCTGCCTCAGCCTCCTGAGTATCTGGGACTACAGGTGTGCACCACTATGCCCAACTAATTTATTTGTACTTTTAGTAGAAACAAGGTCTCACCATGGTGGCCAGGCTGGTCTTGAACTCCTGAACTCAGGTGATCCGCCCGCCTCAGCCTCCCAAAGTGTTGGGATTACAGGCGTGAGCCACTGTGCCCGGCTGAAATTAGGTTTTTCTCTCTGCCCCTCAGCCTTTGTGCCAAGCCTTTCTCCTGCCTCACTCTGAAGGACTTTAGCATCCTCCACTCCCTTGATGTGGTCGACCCTTTTATTTCTCTTTCTCCCAGGACTCTGTCATGCCCGAGCTCTTGCATGTGCCTCCTCTGACCTGAATGTGAATGTTCTACAGAGCTCTACCCAGGCCTTACTCCCCTTCCCAACTCTTTTTCTTGACATCGTCTCCCACATTAGACTGTCACTTCTAACAGATCTCCAGTCCCAGAACTCTCCCCTGAGACCCAGGTTCAGAGATCTCCTTGCCCAGTGATCATCTTCACACAGATACCCTGCTCACTATCTTAAACACAGCAGATTGTAGAGTTAGAAAATGTTAAGTCTCACTTTCGCTGAGAAAATGTAGAAAGTAACATAAAGCAGCCAGGTGTGGTGGCATGCACCTGTAGTTCCAGCCGCTTGGGAGCCTGAGGCAGGAGGATCGCTTGAGCCCAGGAGTTTTAAGGCCGCGTGGAGCTATGGTCACACCCTGTACTCCAGGCTGGGAAACAGAGTAAGATTCTGTCTCTTAAAAAAAATTAAATTAAAAATAAGCTAAAGCCTTTTTGTCCCCAAAAACTTGATTAAAAATAAATCAACGAAGACACAGAATCTTGAACAGAGCCTGAGCCTTCCACCTGAACCTATACACTTGACGCAGATGGTGGGCTGAGACTAGCCTTTCTTTATGCCGATAAGGAAACCGAAGTCAAACGAGCTTTGATTAGTTGATTAATCATGTTGAAACAAGGTCCCAGTAAAGCTAAATTTAACTGTGGCCTGCTCTAGATTCCAAATTGCATGCTTCCTCTTTTATAGTTTTTGCCAACTCATTGTAATTGGATTGCTGAGTCTGAGTGATGGGTATATGAAGACTTCATTACACTTCTCTTTTGTGCATATTGAAATTTTTCATAATAAAAATCTAAAAGGAAACAATGTCTCTTTTTTTCTTTTCTTTTAGCCTGTCTTGGCTACTTGATTAGTGCTTGTCTACAATGTAACTCTTAAACTTACTGCTATGAGAGAATTGCTTGGACTCATGAAACACGCTTTTTGGAGGAAATTAGGTGATATGAGACATATAACTATGCCCTGTAGTTGCAAATGACATCATTAGTGAATTAGTTTTCTTTTTGCTTCTTTTCTTTGTTCTTCTAACCATATGTGTGTGTAAATGTGTGCGTGTGTATACCCTGAGAATTTCTGTGCAGGGAGGAAGTGGTTCAATCTGCTTGTCTCTGAGCAGCCGTTGGCTTTTAGAATAAAGAAATGACTCTGCCTTGTTTCTGATTCAGATGCAACATGAGGCTTGTTTTCATCCATGAGGTCTAAATTCAAACACCTGTCTTCTCCCCCTATAAAACATAATCCTCTTTCCCCATAACATTGAAGGAGAAAAAAAAACTTGGCTTTACATGCTGTTTAGGTTAGATCTGTAAGAGGAGCTTAAGTGCTGATTACAAGAAACACTGAGAGAATGAAAACTAGTTTGGAAACCTCATGTGGCTCAGAAAACTCCATATGACAAAGATACCACACAGCTTATGTAGGCATCCAGGTCAGAAGGGCAGGTGCACAGGAGCCTAATTTGTAAAGGCCATTGTCATATTCCATCTAAGGACTGACTCAGCCCTCCCATTCCTTCAACCATAACTTTTATTCCTTTCCACACCTCTCCCACTACTGTCTTCATTTCAGCAGAAAAAGACAATCTCTCTTGACCAAAATATGAGGCCTACAATAGTAGCATTTGGCACATTTCACCCACCTTGTTTAAATTTTTATTTTGATATACAGTCATCCCTGGATATCCATAGTGGATCGGTTCCAGGACCTCCCTCAGACACCAAAATCCATGGATGCTCAAGTCTCTGATATAAAATGGGGTTGTATTTGCATATAACCTATGCACATTTTCCCATATACAGAATGTTAAATCATCTCTAGATTACTTATAATACCTAATAAAGTATAAATACTATGTAAATAGTTGTTATATTGTATTATTTAGGGAACAAGGACAAGAAAAAAAAGTCTGCACATGTTCACTACAGAAAATAAAAACATTTCTTTTGATTCAAGGTTGGTTGAGTCCACAGATGCAGAACCCATGGATATGGAGGGCTGACTGTTAAGTTCAAACATAGAGAAATCCCATAAGCACAGTATAAGAAACGCTATAACTTTTACTCTGGCCCCATTTTTTTTCTCTCTTTCTTTCTAAGTGCTGGAGTTTATCAATTTTATTAATATTTTCAAAGAATGAAATTTTGTGGGCTTTTTGAAACAGGGTCTCATTCTGTCACCCAGGCTGGAGTGCAGTGGCACAATCATGGGTTAACTGTAGCCTCTACCTCCCAGGGTCACCTCCCACCTCAGCCTCCCGAGTAGCCAGGACTACAGGCATGCACCACCATGCCCACCTAATTTTTGTATTTTTTTGTAGAGACAGTTTCACCATGTTGCCCAGGCTTGTCTTGGACTCTTGATCTCAAGCAATCTGCCTGCCTCGGCCTCCCAAAGTGCTGGGATTACAGGCATGAGCCACCATGCCTCGCCTAACATATCTTTAAATTTCCTTTGTGATTTATTCTTTGACCCATGAGTTACTTAGTAGTATGTTGTTTAATTTCCAATTACTGGGGGATTTTCTAGATTTGTTTTTGTTATTCTATCTAATATAATTCCATTGTGGTCAGAGAACATCATCTATAAGATATCAGCCTCTTAGTATTTATTGACCTACTTATAGTCCAGCATATGGTCTATCATGGGGAATTTTTTATGTGTCCTTGAAAAAAAAAAGTGTATTCTGTAGTTATTTGGCACAGTGTTTTATAAATGTCAGTTAGGCAAGGTTGGTTAATTGTGTCATTCAATAAAATCACATACTTAGTGATTTTTGTTTTCTTGGTCTATCAGTGACTGACAGAGAGATATTAAAATCTCTAATCATAACTGTGGATTTGCCTAGTTATTGCTTTAGTTCTATTAGCTTTTCCTTCATGTATTTTGAAGCCCCATTACTGTTATGGACTGAATTGTGTCCTCCCCCAAAATTTGTATGTGTAAGTCTTAACTCTGAGTACCTCAGAACATGACTGTAATTGGAGCTAGGGTCTTTACAGAGATAATTAAGTTAAAATGAGGTCATTAGGGTAGGCCCTAATCCAATATGACTGGTGTTCTTATAAGAAGAGGAAATTCTGACACAGACACAGAAAGAGGGAAGATAATATGTAGACAAAGGGAGAAGATGGCCCTCAGAAGGAATCAACCCTGTCGACACCAATGTCTTGGATGTTTAACCTCCAGAACTGTGAGAAAATAAATTTTGGTTATTGACACCATCAGTCTGTGGTGGCTTTCTATGGCAACCCTAGCAAACTAATAGTTACTAAGTGCACACATTTAGGATTGTTAAGTATTCTTGATGAATTGATTCTTCTATAAAGTTTTTCTTCTTGTATCTACTAGTACTCCTTATCTTGATGCCTACTTTGTTTGATATGAATACAACCACATCAGCTTTCTTGTTTGTTCTTATTCTTGTTTATATTTCACCTTCTTATCTGTATTAAATATATATTTCTCTATCCTTTTATTTTCACTTTTTTGGTCTCTATATATTCAAAGTGTGTCTCTTAAGACAGCATAGCCAGGTGTGGTGGCGCATGCCTGTAATCCCAGCACTTTGGGAGGCCAAGACAGGCAGATTGCTTGAGTCCAGGAGTTTGAGACCAGTCTGAGTGACATGGTAAAACCCCACCTCTACAAAAAAATAAAAAAATTAGCCAGACGTGGTGGTACGTGCTTGTCATCCCAGCTACTTGGGAGGCTGAGGCAGGAGGATCACTTGAGTCCAGGAAGCAGAGGTTGCAGTGAGCTGTGATCATGCCACTGCATTCCAGCCTGGGCCACAGAATGTGACCCTGTCACAAAAAAAAAAAAAAAAAAAAAAAAAATCCCCGAAGCCAAAACAAAACAAAATAAAATCCAGCATAGATTCGGGTCGTTTTTTATTCTGTTTAATAATCTTTGCCTTTTCATTGAAGTGTTTAGTCCATTTATATTTAATGTAATGATTGCAATGATTGTGTTTAAATCTACTATATTGCTATTTGTTTTCTATTTGTGCCACCTATTTTTCATTCTGTTCTCTTTGCCTGCCTTCAATTAATCAAATATTTTTATTAGTCCATTTTATTTCTTCTATTGGTTTCTAGCTCTACCTCTTTATATAGTATTTTCAGTTTAGCTCTAGGTGATTACAGTATGCATTTTTATTTATTTATTTATTTATTTATTTATTTATTTACTTATTTGAGACAGAGTCTCGCTCTGTCACCAGGCTAGAGTGCAGTGATGCAATCTCTGCTCACTGCAACCTCCATGTCCTGGGTTCAAGTGATTCTCCCGCCTCAGCCTCCCAAGTAGCTGGGACTACAGGTGCACACCACCACGTCCAGCTAATTTTTTGTATTTTTAGTAGAGACGGGGTTTCACCATGTTGGCCAGGATGGTCTTGATCTCTTGACCTCGTGATCTGCCCGCCTCGGCCTCCCAAAGTGCTGGGATTACAGGCATAAGCCACTGTGCCCGGCCTACATTCTTAATTTATTACATTTTGCTTAGAATTAATTTATCCATAAAATGTATAACCTAAAGAGAGAATAATTTCATTTACCCTACCTGTCCTTCTGCTATTATTGTCATATATTTTACTTTTACATGTTTTATTTTTATTTATTTTTGAGATAGAGTCTCATTTTATTGCCCAGGCTGGTGTGCAATGGTACAATCACGGCTCACTGCAGCCTCAACTTCCCAGGCTCAGGTGATTCTCCCACCTCAGCCTCCTAGGTAGCTGAGACTACAGGTACACATCACCATGCCAGTCTAATTTGTTTGTATTTTTTGTAGAGAGGGAGTCTAACCACGTTGCCCAGACTGGTCTCAAATTCCTAGGCTCAAGTGATTCTTCTGCCTCAAACTCCCAAAGTGCTGAGATTACAGGCATGAGCCACTGTGCCTGGCCTTACATGTTTTAAATCTTACAATAAATTATTATTGTTTTTGTTTGGTCAGTTGTTTTTTAAAGAAATTATTTTTAAAATTAAAAAAATATAGGCTTTTATATTAGCCCATATAAGATGTTCTTCATTCCTTTCTGTAGAATGTACCATAATTTATTTATCCATTCACCTACTGAAGGACATCTTGGTTGCTTCCAAGTTTTGGCAGTTATGAATAAAACTGCTATAAATATCTGTGCAGGGTTTTATGTGGACATACGTTTTCAACTCCTTTGGGTAAATACCAAGGAGTGCCGTCACTGGATATCTTTGCCTTTCAGCCTGATGAACAATCTTTAGTGCTTATTGTAGTGCAAATCTGATGAAAATGAATTCTCTCAGCTTTTGCTCATCTGAAATTGTCTATATTTCATGTTATGTCTTCCAGTAACTGTGAGTCCCATGTGAGCATAACTGACAAGAAAAGACACACAAGTTCTTAGCATGTTGCTGGGTCAAAGAATAGCATTGTTTTCTTAGTCTGGTGAGATGATGAATGAGAAAATTATAGTTATAGCCAAGTGAGTGCCAAAGACTTCAGGAGGCAGTGGGTTTTTACAAACTTGTTTGGATTGGTGAAGTATCTTTGTTTTGGGATTGCCAATCTCCTTCAACTGAAGAGGAAGTTAAAACAGACATCCAAAGCCGGGCGCTCAAGCCTGTAATCTCAGCACTTTGGGAGGCCGAGGTGGGCAGATCGCTTGAGGTCAGAAGTTCGAGACCAGCCTGGCCAACATGGCGAACCCTGTCTCTACTAAAAATACAAAAATTAGCCAGGCATGGTGGTGGGCGCCTGTAATTCCAGCTACTCGGGAGGCTGAGGCAGGAGAATCGCTTGAACCCAGGAGGCAGGGGTTGCAGTGAGCTGAGATCCCGCCACTGCACTCCAGTCTGGGCGACAGCACAAGACTCTTAAAAACAAACAAACAAAAAACAAACAAACAAACAGAGATCCAGGATCATTCCATAGCAAGAAGAACAGAATCACAACCAACAGCCCCTGGTGGCTGCTCCTCATGAAGCACAAATGATTGCAGTGGTTGTTTCCCTGGCAGCTCCTGTTTTTGTGTCAAGGGCAAAGCTCTAAGCAGCATTGCTCTGTCTCTTCATTCCCCTCCCTGCCCACATTAGAGAAGTATTTTTGCAGTCATGGATTCAAGGCCAAAGGCCCCTATTAGCAATGTTTCAACGAAGTTTTTTTTCTGGTGTGTATCCCAATTTTAGGATGTGTATCCCAATTTTAGGATGTGTATCCCAATTTTAGGCTGCACATGGCAGCATGGTTTATCAGGGATGGTTGGTTTCTTAGGTTGGGTTCCCGAAAACAAATTTTGAGACAGAAGCAATGTGCAAATGATTTATTAAGGAAGTGCTCCCAGGAGAAACAATTAAAGGAATGCAGAAAAGAAGTAAAGGAAGAGGAAGATGCCAAGCAAGGCTTTGATGCTGGCCATGTCCCAGCCTCAGCCTGATGCAGAGGTGAGTTCTGAAGGGGAAATTACACTTTATAGTTTTGTTCCACTGCAGTGAGGGAGCTGGGCTTTCACATCAGTGAAAGTGCAGGCTTTCCTGCACCAGTCAGTGGTTATGAACACAGGTAGGAAGGACACATAAACTCTCAGGCCATTCTCACTCCCTTTATATGCTGGTGTGCACAGCAACCCCAGCAGACCAGGTGTGATGCCCTCAGGTACAAGCCACTGGAAACAAAGGTCACAGAAAGTGGAGGATAACAGGACAGAAATGGTAAAAGGGATCCAGGGGGATACAGGTGAAGCACCAACAGCATCTGCCACGGTAGGACATGTGAAAAGAAGGCCTTGACACGCTTTTTATAGAATGCTTTGTACTAATTTAGGAGGATATCATTTAATATATTATTGCTTTTAAGTGGGTTCCCCTGGGAGTATAGAGGGACGTGTCATGGGCCAACCCATTAATATTTCAAGATGAGAATGTCTCTTTGACAGCTGTGCATCTTATACTTGCAAGAACTCTGGGAACTATCTAGGCCATTTGAATCAGGTTTCTGCACACATCTTGACCAATTTAGTTTCTGAAATTCTATTTTGTCATTTTATACCCCCCCACCCGCTGATTCTATAGTGAAAGTCAGTAGTCAAAGTCTTGTTGCATCTGAAAGCCTTCACAGACTTCCTTTCCCATTTGACCTATGAGGTTTGTGTCTCATTGTATTAAAGGACAAGGATATTTCTCTCTTTTTTTTTTTTTTTTTGAGACGAAGTCTCGCTCTTGTCCCCCAGGCTGGAGTGCAATGGTGCGATCTCGGCTCACTGCAACCTCCACCTCCCGGGTTCAAGTGATTCTCCTGCCTCGGCCCCGCTGGGATTACAGGTGCCTGCCACCACGCCCAGCTAATTTTTGTATTTTTAGAAGAGACGGGATTTTACCATGTTGGCCAGGCTAGTCTAGAACTCCTGACCTCAAGTGATCCACATGCTTTGGCCTCCCAAAGTGCTGGGATTACAGGCGTGAGCCACCACGCCCGACCTCTTCTTCTTTTTTTTTTTTTTAGAGATAGACTCTTGCTCTGTTGCCCAGGCTGGAGTGAGTGGCACGATCCTGACTCATTGCAACCTCAACCTCCCGGGCTCAAGCCATCCTCCCACCTCAGTCTCTTGAGTAGCTGGTATTACAGGTGCACGCCACCATGCCCGGCTAATTTTTTAATTTTTTAGTAGAGACGCGGTTTTGCTATGTTGCCAAGGCTGGTCTCGAACTGCTGAGCTCCAGTTATCTGCTTGCCTCAGCCTCCCAAATTGCTGGAATTACAGGTGTGAGCCACCATGCCTGGCAGATATTTCAAATTTGAGTAGGAAAACTTTTAACAACTCTTTGATGATGACAGTGTAGTATATTTTGTATATGGTGATAGTTCTACACATCTCTAAACATATATTTCTATTTATGTGATCAGTATTTTTTCATCTGGATGAAATTAACAGAATAATACTGTTGTGAATCATGCCGTTCCATTATCTGTCAAAAAATGGCAGAGACAGGCCAGGTGCAGTGGCTCATACCTATAATCCCAACACTTTGGGAGGCTGAGGCAAAAGGACTGCTTGAGCCCAAGAGTTCAAGACCAGCCAGGGCAACATAGTGAGACCCCCATCTCTACCAAAAAAAAAAAAAAAAAGGCAGACATGATAGTACTGTGGTCTACAATGGAACACACTGGAACATATCCATAGCATCTAATGACTTTTATCAAAAGTCCTTCATTCATCATACCCCCTTTATTTCACATGAGCCATTCCAGGAATCATGTGAACAAGAAGAAGATTCTTGAGTGCCATCAAGTGGCCATTTGGGGAAAACCACAGGTGATCTGGGTGTAAGACCATCAGCCTCTACATAATTTCCTCCCTGAATTTGGGGTCTGGTTTTGGAGCAGAGAAATGTTAAAAAAAAAAAAAAAGTTGTCAGAGGAACCTAGTTGGAGGTTGAGGATGAAACCAAAGCCATGGCCTGAGAAGGGAGAAAATGGCTGAAGTAGCCAAAGATTATTTTTTTAAAGACTTTATTTTATTTTATTATTTTTTTTGAGATAGAGTCTCACTCTGTCACCCAGGCTGGAGTGCAGTGGTGCAATCTCGGCTCACTGCAAGCTCCGCCTCCTGGGTTCAAGCGATTCTCCTGCCTCAGCCTTCCGAGTACCTGGGATAACAGGCGCGCGCCACCACACCCAGCTAATTTTTGTAATTTTAGTAGAGACAGGGTTTCATCATGTCAGCCAGGCTGATCTCGAACTCCTGACCTCAGGTGATCCACCTGCCTTGGCTTCCCAAAGTGCTGAGATTACAGGTGTGAGCCACTGTACCCGGCCAGACTTTATTTTTTTGAGAGCAGTTTTAGGTTCATAGCAAAATTAAGAGGAAGGCACTGAGATATCTCATATGCCCCCCCAACACATGCACAATCCCCCCCATTAACAACATCCCCCACCAGAGTGCTACATTTATTACAACTGATGAACCTACATTGACACATCATCACTCAAAGTGTATAGTTTATATTAAGGTTCATTCTTGTTGTTGTACAATCTATGGACAAATGGAAAAATATATAGGACATGTGTCCACCATTATAGTATCATACAGAGTATTTTCACTGCCCTAAAACTCCTCTATTCTCTGCCTATTCATCCCTTCCTGCCCTCAGCCCCTGGCAACCACTGATCTTTTTACCATCTCCACAGTTTTGTCTTTTCCAGAATGCCATATTGTTGGAATAATACAGTGTGTAGCCTTTTCAGACTGGCTTCTTTCACTTAGCATTATGGAATTAAGTTTTCCTCATGTCTCTTTACGGCTTGGTAGCTCATTTCTTTTTAATGCTGGATAATATTCCATTGTTTGAATGTATCACAATTTATCCATTCACCTACTGAAGGACATTTTAGTTACTTCCAAGTTTTGGCAGTTATGAATAAAGCTGCTATAAATACCTGTGCAGGGTTTTGTATGGACATAAGTTTTCAAAGCCAACATTGGATCATATGGCAAGAGTAGGTTTAGTTTTGTAAGAAACTACCATACTGTCTTCCAAAGTGGCTATGCCATTCTGCATTCCCATCAGCAATGAGAGTTCCTGTTGCTCCACATGCTTGCCAGCATTTGATGTTGTAAGTGTTCTGGACTTTGGCCATTCTAATAGGTATGCAATGACATCTTATTGTTGTTTTATTTTGCTTTTCCCTGATGAAAGGGAAATGTGGAGCATCTTTTCATATGCTTATTTGCCATCTGTTTATCTGCTTTGGTAAGGTGTCTGTTAAGGTCTTTGGCATATTTTTGGGTTTGCTTTTGTTTTTTGAGACAGAGTCTTGCTCTATTGCCCAGACTGGAGTGCAGTGGCACAATCATGGCTCACTGCAACCTCCGCCTCCTGGGCTCAAGCCATCCTCCCATTTCAGCCTAGCAAGTAGGTGGGACAACAGGCCTGCACCACGACACCCAGCTAATTTTTATATTTTTTGTAGAGACGAGGTCTCACTATATTGCCCAGGCTGGTATTGAATTTCTGGGTTCAGGCAATCTTACTGCCTCAGCCTCCCAAAGTGTTAGGATTATAGGTACGAGCCACCATGCCAGGCCTTTGACTCATTTTTTAATCAGGTTGTTTGTTTTCTTATTGTTAAGTTTTGAGAATTCTTTGTATATTTTGGATAATGGTCCATTATCAGATATATCTTTTGCAAACATTTTCTTCTAGTCTGTCTTGTCTTTTTGTTCTCTTAAGAGTGTCTTTTGTAAAGCAGAAAATTTTAATTTTAATAAAGTCCACCTTATTAATTCTGTCACGGATCATGCTGCTGGTGTTACATCTCAACAGTCATCACCGACTAACTGCAACCTCCACCTCCCAGGTTCAAGCAACTCTCCTGCTTCAGCTATCTGAGTAGCTGGGATTATAGGCATGCGCCACCATGCCTGGCTAATTTTTGTATTTTTAGTAGAGACAGGGTTTCACCATGTTGCCCAGACTGGTCTCTAACTCCTGACCTCAGGTGACCTGCCCACCTCCAAAAGTACTGGGATTACAGGCGTAAGCCACCGTGCCCGGCTGGAACATCTCATAACACTTCTTTAGAAGATACTTGGAAGGCATGTAAAAGTCATTAATCTAAAAACATTTGGAAATTTATTTCTCCTCATTGTTTTCCCATAAATGTGAACAACCCAAAAGTTATAGATGGGCCAGGAGCAGTGGTTCACGCCTGTAATCCCAGCACTTTGGGAGGCCAAGGAAGGCAGATCACTTAAGGTCAGGAGTTCGAGACCAGCCTGGCCAACACTGCGAAACCCCGTCGCTACTAAAAATACAAAAATTAGCCAGGTGTCATGGCGCATGCCTGTAATCCCAGCTACTCAGGAGGCTGAGGCAGGA
This sequence comes from Homo sapiens, assembly GCF_000001405.40. Taxonomy (NCBI): domain Eukaryota; kingdom Metazoa; phylum Chordata; class Mammalia; order Primates; family Hominidae; genus Homo; species Homo sapiens. The sequence continues at coordinate 90,696,457 of NC_000015.10, forward strand.
GAATTGCTTGGACCCTGGAGGCAGAGGTTGCAGTGAGCCAAGATCGCACCACTGCACTCCAGCCTAGGCGATAGAGCTAGACTCCGTCTCAAAAAAATAAAAATAAAAAACAAAAGTTATAGGTGGAATAAAAAAAATTGACAGATTTATTAGGAGAGTAGACGTTTTGATAAAAACAATCAATTAATCACCTATCAGAACGTCAGACAAAAATCAAAATGGGCACATTACACCACTTCATGCTCTAAAACCAATGAACAGACTCATCTACATGAAAGATGATAGTAAAATGTCTTTAAGGATAGTAAGGGTTCATTCAGGTGGGCAGTAATTGCAACAGTTGCAAACCCAAGTATTAGTCAGGGTCCTGGCGGAAAAGAGTTGGCAAACGCAAGAGAGAATTTTTTTTTTTTTTTTTTTTATGAGACGGAGTCTCGCTCTGCCACCCAGGCTGGAGTGCAGTGGCGCAATCTCGGCTCACTGCAACCTCTGCCTCCCGGGTTCACGCCAATTCTCCTGCCTCAGCCTCCCGAGTAGCTGGGACTACAAAAATTTTTTGTATTTTTAGTAGAGACAGGATTTCACCGTGTTAGCCAGGATGGTCTTGATCTCCTGACCTCGTGATCCGCCTGCCTCGGCCTCCCAAAGTGCTGGGATTACAGGTGTGAGCCACTGCGCCCAGCCAAAAGAGGATATTTAAGAGATGCTAATGAAGCAATTACTTACTAAAGTATAGGTAGGGTTCAGGGAACCACAAAGAATGAAACTAGCAACAGAAGGAAACCACCACCACACTTTTTAGTTGAGAGGGCAAAAGGAAGGAGAGGTTCTTGAAATCTGATGTATAGCTACAGCACAAAAGCCACCTGACAGGGGTTATGACCTTGGGCAAAGGATGCAGCCACCAGTGAACCAGGACCTGGCTCTGTACTCCCACCCTTTGATCTGTTGATACATGTCACAGGCCAAACCCAGCCTCCTGATTGACAGAGAGAAATGAGTCTGAAGGACCAATCAGAAAAAGATCTAGTACATCCAACTTCAATTTGGCTTTAAAAAGTTAGGGCATTTTGGCTGGGCATGGTGGCTCATGACTGTCATCCCAGAGCTTCGGGAGGCTGAGGTGGGAGGATGGTTTGAGACCCGGAGGTTGAGGCTGCAGTAAGCTATGATGGCACCACTGCACTCCAGGCTGGGTGACAGAGCACAACACCATCTCAAAAAAAAAAAAAAAAAAAAAGCCTCGCATGGTGGCTATCAAGTCTGTAATCCCAACACTTTAAAGAGGCCAAGGAAGGAGGATCACTTGAGTCTAGCATTTTGAGACCTGCCTGGGCAACACGGTGAAACCCCATCTCTACAAAAAATACAAAACTTAAAAAGAAAAAAAAAATCAAAAATTAGCCAGGCAACACATACGTGTGGTTCCAGCTACTCTGGAAGCTGACGTGTGAGGATCACATGAGCCTGGGGAGGTGGAGGCTGCAGTGAGCTCCAGCCTGGGTGACAGAGTGAGACCCTGTCTCAAAACAAAACAAAACACAACAAAACATACAAAATTAGTCGGGCTCCCCCTTGAGCCCAGGAGTTGAGGCTGGAGCAAGCCATGATGCGGCCACTGTACTCTATCCTGGGCAACAGAGTGAGACACTGTTTCTGAAAAAAAAAAAAAAAAGTTAGTCCGGGTGCAGTGGCTCACGCCTGTAATCCCAGCACTTTGGAAGGCCGAGGCGGGTGGATCATGAGGTAAAGAGATCGAGACCATCCTGGCTAACACAGAGAAACCCCGTCTCTACTAAAAATACAAAAAATTAGCCAGGTGTGGTGGCAGGCGCTGGTAGTTCCAGCTACTCAGGAGGCTGAGGCAGGAGAATGGCGTGAACCTGGGAGGTGGAGCTTGCAGTGAGCTGAGATCACGCCACTGCACTCCAGCCTGGGCGACAGAGTGAGACTCCATCTCAAAAAAAAAAAAAAAAAAAGTTAGGGCATTTTATTATTTCATTAAACAACATTTCCTGAAGTAGGGCAGCTAAGCCCCATGGTTGGTGGATTTGCTGACGTTGTGAAGGGCCCTCAGTCTTTCTGTCTTTCTCTTCATTCCATCCTGATCACAAGAAGGCTGCTGCAGCTCCAGATGCCACAGTCAGCCTCAGCAAGGATTAGCAAAAGAGAATGAGTCTTCCTGGGGGTCTCTTTTAAAGAATGAGGAAACTTCTTGGAAGCCTCCCCATGAAATCTGTCTCATGGGCCAGAACTGTATCACATGTCCATGCTGGGCCAATCCTCATCCAGGGAAAAGGTACCCAGCTAATCAAGATTTGCCCCTGAGCTGGGGAAGGTGTTGGTTGGCGGAGGGGAGCATAGATGTGCCTACAAAAACCAAGATTCTGCTAACGGAAAAGAGGGAAGAAAGGCTTTGTGAAGGCAAAGGTGTATGAAAAAGACTGCAAGACAATTGTGAGGTTTTTAGTAGACTGGAGGTAGAATAAAGATGTTGGAGGCTGGGCACAGAGGCTCGTGTCTGTAGTCCCAACACTTTGGGAGGCTGAGGTGGTAGGATTGCTTGAGGCCAGGAGTTCAGAGACCAGCCTGGGCAACATAGACTCCATCTCTACAAAAAAATACAAGCAGGCAGCCAGGCGCCGTGGCTCACACCTGTAATCCCAGCACTTTGGAAGGCCGAGGTGGGTGGATCATGAGGTCAGGAGATCGAGAACATCCTGGCTAACATGGTGAAACCCCATCTCTACTAAAAATACAAAAAATTAGCCGGGCGTGGTGGCGGGCGCCTGTAGTCCCAGCTACTCGGGAGGCTGAGGCAGGAGAATGGCGTGAACCCGGGAGGCCGAGCTTGCAGTGAGCCGAGATCGTGCCATTGCACTCCAGCCTGGGCCACAGAGCGAAACTCCGTCTCAAAAAAAAAAAAAAAAAAATACAAGCAGGCATGATGGCTCACACCTGTAATCCCAGCACTTTTGGAGGTGGGTGGATCACTTGAGGTCAGGAGCTTAAGACCAGCCTGGCCAACATGGCAAAACCCCGTCTCTACTAAAAATACAAAATTAGCCGGGCGTGGTGGCAGGCACCTGTAATCCCAGCTGTTCAGGAGGCTGAGGAAGGAGAATTGCTTGAATCTGGGAAGCACAGGTTGCAGTGAGCTGACATCGCGCCACTGCACCCCAGCCTGGGCAACAGAGGGAGACTCTGTCTCAAAAAAAAAAAAATTACCAGGATGGTGAAGTGCACCTCTAGTTCCAACTACTCAGGAGGCCGAAGTGGGAGGAAAGCTTGAGCCTGGGAGGTTGACGCTGCAGTGAGCTGTGACTGCGTCACTGCACTCCAGCCTGGGTGACAGAGCAGGACCCTATCTCCAAAAAAAAAAAAAAAAAAAAAAAAAAAAAAAAAAGATGCTGGGTTTACTGGGAGGCAAAGCATAAGGGTAATATGACCAGCAGAGATGAGTAAAATGTAATATTTACATATTCGACAGTTGATAGGAATTGCATTTTGGTTTTTAGAAGGAGTGCTGAGGTGGAGCAGCCCCATAAAGAGGGACACCAGGATGAAAACACAAGAAGCCTCTACCAAGACAGCTGTCCTGGCCACAGAACACAGGCTGGAGGCAAAGCAGGTATTTTCCAGCGTAAGAAGAATGATCACAGGCACTAGGGCGTTGTCTCCATTAGTCTGTGTTTGTATAATGAAGGTTGTTTTTTTTAATGGAAGAGTGAACTGCTTACTGTAATCAGGGATACCTAATGCTAGGACTCATTTAAGGGAAGAAAAAGCCTTTTAGATGTTAAGACCAAGGTAATCATTTGACATTGCTAGCTTGAGTTAGATGTAGTAGATGTTTTGTATCTGAAGTATATTTTAGTATTTACTGTCAGCTAAGGCCAGACATGTCCAAGAAGCTATGCATTTGTGAACTTGTGGTGAGCCCAGGGCCCTTGAAGATACCTACTTCTCTAGAAGAAAATGAGTGTCTCTTACTGATTTGTCATGTTCAAGTAATGGACTTGGAACAGACATAATTATGATTTATTTTAATAGCTTTGTGGCCCTTTTGTACACAAGAAGGAAGGTAGATTAAGAAATCTCTTTTGGCCAGCCACAGTGGCTCACGCATGTAGCCCAGCACTTTGGGAGGCCGAAGTGGGTGAATGACTTGAGGTCAGGAGTTCAAGACTAGCCTGGCCAACATGGAGAAACCCAGTGTCTACTAAAAATACAAAAATTAGCTGAGCATGGTGGCGTGCACTTGTAATCCCAGCTACTCAGGAGGCTGAAGCAGCAGAATTGCTTGAACCCAGGAGGCAGAGGTTGCAGTGAGCCAAGATACACCACTGTACTCCAGCCTGGGCGACAGAGTGAGACTCTGTCTCAAAAATAAATACATTAATTAATTAATTTCTCTCTTTTGAGGGCAGGGTATGGTGGCTCAAGCCTGTGATACCAGCATTTTGGGAGGTGGGAAGATTGCTTGAGCCCAAGAGTTCAGGACCAGCCTGGGCGACAAAATGAGACTGGGTCTCTATTAAAAAATAATTAAACATTAGCTGGGCATGGTGTTGCATGTCTGTAGTCCCAGCTACTCAGGAGGCTGAGGTGGGAGGATGGCTTGAGCCCTGGAGGTCAAGACTGCAGTGAGCCATAATGGCATCACTGTACTCCAGCATGGGTAACAGAGCAAGGCCCTGCCAAAAAAAAAAAAGAAGAAATCTCTTTTGAGGCCCTTTAATGAGGGGGAGACCAACAGAAGGCTGCTAACATATTGCATAAGAACACAATTTCCAGGAAACGTTCTGTTATTTAAATCACTCTTAAGAATTAGGAAGTCCAGGAGCTCTGGGCTGAAATTGCAGATTAAACATGCACATCTAGATCCATTCCCCCAAAAACCTACTATAGTAAAGTGACTGTATATATAGTAAAAACTACAATAAGTCTACAACAATGAGAACAGAACAGATGACAGCAGGTCAGGCGTGGTGGCTCACGCCTATAATCCCTGCACTTTGGAAGGCCAAACCGGGTGGATCACTTGAGCCCAGGAGTTCAAACCGGCCTGGCCAACACGTTGAAACCTTGTCTCTACTAAAAATGCCAAAAAAAAAGTAGCCAGGCATGGTGGCACACACTTATAATCCCAGCTACTTGGAAGGCTGAGACAGGAAAATTGCTTGAACCTGGGAGGCAGAGGTTGCAATGATCCGAGATTGCACCACTGCACTCCAGGCTGGGCCACAGAGGGAGACTGTCTCAAAAACAAACAAACAAAAACAAAAAAAAAAGAAAAAGAAAAAAAGATTAGCCAAGCTTGGTGGCACATGCCTGTGGTCCCAGCTACTCGGGAGGCTAAGATGGGAGGATCACTTGAGCCTGGGAGACGGAGGTTGCCGTGAGCCAAGATGATGCCACTGCACGCCAGCCTGGCAGGCAGAACAAAACCCTGTCTCAAAAAAGAAAAACAAACAAACAAACAAACAAAAAGAGAGAGAGAGACAACAGCAGCAAGCTTTTGGAACCTAGAAAGCAGAAGAGTGGTGACTGTCTTAGCTGACCTAAGAAGGAACCATTCTTGGGCCAGTAGTGGGCAGGGTTCTCCAGAGAAACAATAGGAGGCAATAAGGGGTGTGCGTGTGTGTGTGTGTGTGCGCGTGTGTGTGTGCGAGCGCATATGTAGGAGAGACAGAAAGAAAAAGACAAAGACAGTGAGAGAGAAAAGGAATTGGCTCGCATGATTATTTGGCTGGTAAATCCAAAATCTGTAGTGTGGATGAAGAGGTATTTTTCAGCAGACCAAGTAAGTCAGCTGTAAAATACCTCTTGCTGGGGCAAAAGGTCAGTCTTTATTCAGGCCTCCAACTAACTGGATGAGACCACCCACACTATGGGGAATGTTATGAACTGAACACTTGTGTCCCCCCCAAATCACATTAAAGCCCTAACCCTCAGGGTGATGGTATTTGGAGATGGGGCCTTTGGGAGCAACAAGGGCATATGGGAGCCCTCATTATGGGATTAGTGGCTTTGTAAGAAGAGACACAAGAGATCTCTCTCTGCACCACGTGAGGAAGACACAGTGAGAAGGCAGCCATCTGCAAGCCAGCAAGAGGCTCCTCACCAGAAGGTAAACTGCCTAGCACCTTGACCTTGGACGTTCCAGCCCCCAGAACTGTGAGAAATGTTTCTGTTGTTTAACCAGCATGTGTATGGTATTTTATTATAGTAGGCTGAGCAGACCGAGACAGAGAGCAATTGACTTCACTCAAGTCTACTGATTTAAATGCGAATTTCTTTTTTATTTTGTTTTTGTAGAGACAGGGTCTTGCAGTGTTGCCCAGGTTGGTCTCAAAACCCGGGCCTCAAGTAATCCTCCCACCATGGCCTCCCAAAATGCTGGGATTACAGGCATGAACCACCAGATCCCACCTAAATGCTAATTTCATCCAAAAACACCCTCACAGAAACACCCAGAATAATGTTTGTCCAAATATCTGGGCACTTGGCCCAGTCAATTTGACACATATTAACCATCACAGTATCCTAAAAAGGCACAGAAACTGACAGAACCCAGGCATCTCTGGAATTGGGAGTGAAAGGAGGTCCAAAATAATGAGAACTGGGTGAAAGCAGTTTGAGATGCAGCTAGATCCTGAGATCCCCTCACCCACTCCATACTTATTAGCAACTGCCCCTCCCTTGTCTCCAAGAAGAGGCATTAGTACCTACAGATGGTAAAATAAAGGTCTGTGGACTGAGGAAACCAGGCATAGTTGAGGATGTGAGTACTGTACCAAAAATAAGGGTTTAAGTGACTACTGCTATTGAATGTTAGATGCTGAGTCCAGCTCTATTCTCCCACTGGGCTCCCTGAGCATTACCAGGAGATTGGAACATTTAAAGAGGCTTCTCTGGGGAATCCAAGCGGCCTGAAACACCTAAATAAAGTGATCCTGGAGGTATCCCAACATAGGGCCTCCCCAGGGCACATGATAGTGACAAGCACAATTCGTAAGCCCTACCCAAATTCCCATTGGTCTTTAGTCCCTCTCTTATAATGATAAGACAAGCAAATATATCCAGATATTTGATATTGTTCCACGGATCTCTGAGGCTTGCCGTATTTTTCTTCAGTCCTTTTTCTCTCTGTTTTTCAGACTGGATCATTTTTCTTGATCTGTCTTTAAGTTGCCTATCTTTGTCTTCGGCCTTCTCTATAAGAAGTCAAGTCCATCTTAAATACTTTTTGTTTCAGTTATTATACTTTTCAGTTCTAGAATTTCTAGATGGTACTTTGCTATAATTGACATTTATCTGCTTGGTGGTTTTTTTTTTTTTTTCTTTTTTTTTTTGAGAAAGAGTCTTGTCCTGTCGCCTGTGCTGGAGTGCAGTGGTGCAATACCGGCTCACTGCAACCTCTACCTCCCAGGTTGAAGAGATTCTCCTGCCTCAGCTTCAGTAGCTGGGATTACAGGTATGCGCCACCATGCCCGGCTAATTTTTGTATTTTTAGTAGAGAGGAGGTTTCACCATGTTGGCCAGGCTGTTCTCAAACTCCTGACCTCAAGTGATCTACCCGCCTTGGCCTCCCAAGTGCTAGGATTACAGGCAGGAGCCACCAGCTTGTCTGCTTGGTTTTCTATTCATTCACTCATTAAGATCTTTCCTGGCTGGGTGTGGTGGCTCATGCCTGTAATTCCAACACTTTGGGAGGCCGAGGTGGGTGGACTGCTGGAACCCAGGAGTTTGAGACCAGCCTGGGCAACAGGGTGAAACCTGTCTCTGCCAAAAAAAAAAAAAAAAAAAAAAACCAAAAATTAGCTGGGCATGGTGGTGTGCACCTGTAGTCCCAGCTACTTGGGAGGCTGAGGTGGGAGGATCACTTGAGCCCTGGAGGTTGAGGCTGCAGTGAACCAAGATCATGCCACTTGTACTCCAGCCTGGGTGTCAGAGTTAGAACCTGCCTCAAAAGAAAACACCTTTCCTGCTGGGTGTGGGGGCACATGGCTGTAGTCTCAGCTACTTGGGAGGCTGAAGCAAGAGGATCTCTTCAGCCCAGGAGTTCAAGTTCAGCCTAGGCAATGCAGTGAGACACCGTCTCTTAAAAAAAGAAAAAAAGACCATATTTTCCTTTAATTATTTAAACATATTTTCCTTTTCTTTTTTTAGACGGAATTTCACTCTTGTTGCCCAAGTTGGAGTACAATGGCGCGATCTCGGCTCACTGCAACCTCCGCCTCCCAGGTTCAAGAGATTCTCCTGCCTCAGCCTCCCGAGTAGCTGGGATTACAAGCACGCACCAACAAGCCTGGCTAATTTTTTGTATTTTTAGTAGAGATGGGGTTTCACCATGTTGGTCAGGCTGGTCTCGAACTCCTGACCTCAGGTGATCCACCCACCTCAGCCTCCCAAAGTGCTGGGATTAGAGGCTTGAGCCACCGCGCCTGGCCTAATTATTTAAACATATTTTCCTTTAATTCTTTAAACACACTTTCCTTTAGAATTTTGAACATATAATAATTTCCTTAAAGTCTTTGCTAAGTCCAGCATCTGGACCACCTTGTGGTCAGCTTCTATTGATTGTTGTTTTTGCTATGGGTCATATTTTTCTGTTTCCTTGTATGTTTAGGAATTGTAGATTGTGTCAAGGACACTGGATGATACATTGTAGAGGCTCTGGATTCTGTTATCTGCCTGACCTCTATTATCTGCTTTGCTCTCAACTGGGTAGCAGCCTCTCTCTGGTAACCCTCAGGTAGTCTTCCCTACACATGTACAGCCCAGTTTTCAGCTAAGAACTCATGAGAAAGCCATGGTGTGGATCTCTGCCTCCCACATAAGCAGCTCCATTCTCTCCAGGGCCACGACTTATGGACTGCAGCGGTTTCGGCAGCCCTTCACTCTGATCTCTTCTCAACACAGCAGGGCATCCCTACTCTGCCAGAATTCCAGCTTGCTATGCTGCAATTGGAAAGCTGTCGCCAGCAGAGAGACAGAGAAATTGTGGGAAACATCTCATCAGTGATCTTGGGGATTACTGTCATGCACTGCCTGTTGTCTATTGTTTGAAAATGGTTGCTCATAGCTTTTGGGCAGTTTCATGGTTGTTTAAGGCAGAAAGGCTAATCTGATAATAAGAATTCCATTATAGGCTGGGCCTGATGGCTCACGTCTGTAATCCCAGCACTTCGGGAGGCTGAGGCAGGAGGATTGCTTGAGACCAGGAGCTCAGGACCAGCCTGCGCAACATGGTGAAAGCCCGTCTCTACAAAAAATACAAAAATTAGCTGGGCGTGGTGGCACATGCCTGTGGTCCCAGCTACTTGGGAGGCTTAAGTGGAAGGATCACTTGAACCCAGGAGGTCAAGGCTGCAGTAAGTCGAGATGGCGCCACTGAACTCCAGCCTGGACAACAGAGTGAGATGCTGTCTCAAAAAGAAAAAAAAAAGAAAGAAAATTGTATTACAGTTGGAACCCTTACCTGATATGTTTTTCTTTTCTTTCTTTCTTTCTTTTCCCTTTTTGAGACAGGGTCTTGCTCTGTGGCCCAGGCTAGAGTGCAGTGGCATGAGCTTGGCTCACCACAGCCTTGACCTCCTGGGCTCAAGCAATCCTCCAACCTCAGCCTCTGGAGTAGCTGGGACTAACAGGTGCACACCACCATGCCTGGCTAATTTTTTATTTTTTGTAGAGACAGGGTCTCCCTACGTTTCCCCGGCTGGTCTTGAACTCCTGGGCTCAAGTGATCTGCCTGCCTTGGGCTCCCAAAGTGCCAAGATTACAGCCATGAGCCACTGCGCCGGCCTTGTTTTTATTTTCTTCTAGTATCCTCCCTTCCCCCCGCCTTCAGCCATTTAAGCAATCTATGTGTCTATTGGCTCAGATGAGAGATGAAATGGTAACAAAAGTGGAAAACACTCCGAAACAATAGTTTCTGAAAGAAACTAAACCTATTCTTAATAATAGGTAATAATAGGTAAAGTTCTTTAGGGAGACCAGATTAAAAGACCCTTAAGCAGTGGGAGACAGAAGTGAGGCACTGATATGAGAGAGCAGTGACAAGGTGGCTCCAAGGAAGAAAGGCCTGAGGCCCTGATTCCTGGGCTGCATGCCAGGGAACAGCAGGACCCCAGAGATGGCACTGCGTATAGGGTGTTTTGGTTGGCAACGCCACAGGCACTCTAAGATGTCCATGCCCTTGTTTGACACTGAAGCAACAGAAAGATTCCCATGGCCCCCAGGCTGTAAATAGAAGTGGAGGGAGGATGCCCCAGATTTGAAGAAGGCATAGGCACAAGAACAGGCCACTTCTGTGTGACCTATGAGGAAAGATGATTATAAGGAAAAATTGCCCTCCAACTCACATCTTGGCACAAGGTAAGACCCTAGAACTCACGCACCATCCAGCAGGAAGGAAAGAAAACTCCAAATTTTGGGCCAGGCATGGTGGCTTACGCCTGTCATCCCAACCCTTTGGGAGGCTGAGGCGGGAGGACAGCTTCAGGCCAGGAATTTGAGACCTGCCTGGGCAACACAGTGAGACCTCTACAAACAAACAAACCTCACATATCTAAGATTAATTTGCTGTTATCTAGCAGACTGGGAACTCAAAACACACGTGAAGTCATTACGTTAAAATAGTTTGTTGCACACCTGATTTGGCAGACTGAGATTATGTTATTATAATAATAAAGGTCACCATTTAGAAGGACTTTACTGAGTTACATCCACTGTCTCATTTAATCTCATCTCATTTAATGGGAGTCTATTCCCTCATACTCCCTGTGATGATTCCTGTAACATGGTAGATATGCATGCCTGAGGAAAAATTAATTTTTCATAGCTGGGTGCAGTGGCTCACATCTATAAACCCAGCACTTTGGGAGGCCAAGGCAGGAGGATCGCTTGAGGCCAGGAGTTCAAGACCAGCCCTGGCAACATAGCGAGAACCTGTCTCTGGAAAAACAATTTTTTTAAATTAGCTGGACATGGTGGCATGTGCTTGTACTCCCAGCTAAACAAGAGGCTGAGGCAGGAGGATCACTTGAGCCTAGGAGTTCAAGACTACTGTGAGCCATGAATGTACCACTGCACTCCAGCCTGGGTGACAGAATGAGACCCTGTCTCCAAAAGTAATAACAGCAATAATAATGTATATTTACTCTATACCAGGCATTATACCGAGGGCCTTACGTCACTTAATCTTCATACTAAACTTATGAGACATGTATTACTATTTCTATTTTACAAATGTAGAAACCAAAATTCAGAATTGTAAAGTGAGTGTGGTATTTAGATTCAAATCTGGTGGAAGCTTTATTTTATGTTACTTGCAATCTGTGAAGAAAAAACTAGATCCAAGATTCTAACAGGAATTTATATAATATGATTACAAAATGAGTTTATTTATAATTTAAATAAACAAAATTCCCTTTTATTTTCTACAACAAACATGCTAAGATTATGTGAGTAAACTTCTCGGCTAAATATTGTATTCTAGGGAGACATTAAACAAGAACTTTGTAGTTAACATTGTTCTTTCTGTTTTATCTTTCTGTACTTACAGACATTTTCTTTCTTTTTTTTGAGACAAGAGTCTCGCTCTGTCACCCAGGCTGGAGTGCGGTAGTGCGATCTCCGCTCACTGCAAACTCCACCTCCTGGGTTCAAGCGATTCTTTTGCCTCAGCCTCCTGAGTAGCTGGGAATATAGGCATGCGCCACCACACCTGACTAATTCTTGTATTTTTATTAGAGATGGGGTTTCACTATGTTTCCCAGGCTGGTCTCGAACTCCTGACCTCAAGTGATCCACCTGCCTCAGCCTCCCAAAGTGCTGGGATTACAGGTATGAGCCACTGTGCCCTGCCGACTAATACTTTTTTATTGTATGCCAAATACTGTGTATAAAATAACCTTAAAGGTCGAAGTTAATAATATTTTTCTCTGAATGGTTGACTCTATTTTCTGTTGGCCCATGTACCTCAAAAGAATGATAATTCTATCCAATCAGAAATTGAGCTGATTTTGGAAGAGTTACGGCTTTACTTAGATGTGGTCCACCTCTGTTTTTAATTATCTTGAGAGAGTGAGACCTGTCATGTATTTTTTGCAGGCCCCTCCCTTCAGAGGGACTCCACATTCCAAACTAAGAGACTGCAGATCTTACTCTGCCTTTCCAGCCTAGGTCTCGAGCTTAGCAGCTCTTGGCCCCCAGTCTACCCCAGCACTCAGCAAATATCCCATGGGAAAAAAAGCCTCTTATCTAGGCTCCTTTAGACTCTAATCTGTTAACAATAGCCTGAGAGGCCATCAAAAGTTCAGTGTAAACCACACTCAATCTTCAGCTTTGACAAATGCACCCAGGGAGAAAAATGACCAGCAATCCCAGTTCACCTAGCAATGGGCTCTTCTTTCTCTGATCCCACTGCTCTCTGATGTTCTTATGTCTTTAAAAATAGGACTTGGGCCAGGCGCAGTGGCTCACACCTGAATCCCAGAACTTTGGGAGGCCAAGGCAGTTCAAGACCAGCCTGGCCAACATGGTGAAACCCCATCTCTACTAAAAATACAAAATTTAGCTGGGCATGGTGGCACACACCTGTAGTCCCAGCTAGTCGGGAGGGTGAGGTGGGAGAGTCACTTGAACTCAGGAGGCAGAGGTTGCAGTGAGCTGAGATGGCGCCACTGCACTCCAGCCTAGGTGACAAGAGTGAGATTGTCTATAAATATATACACATGTGTGTGTGATTTGTATAATTTATCCTTTTTTTGTATGTGTGCGTTTTTGTTTTTCTGGTTGTTGTAGCAGGAGTGACAACCTACTGATACCTACTACATCCTTCCTTGTGAATAACAACGTATATTCTCAGAAGAGCGTTGTTCTTACCACTGAATATCTCAGACTGCTTCTAACATATTCTTAGAAAACATAACAAAAGGCAGACTATGTATAACTTTAAGTTTAATTGAGATCTTTCTCCACCTACCTGGTCTCTTAACAGTGTTCTTTGTTTACTTTGCTCCTGAGTGGTTAGGAGTGTAAATATCTTACTAGCACAGTACATTGAAAATTCAATGTATTTGCTATAATAGGATTTGTTCTTCCTAAGGGCTTTATAAAATAAACCTCGAGTTTTTTGTATTTTTAAAAGTCTGAGCTGGGCACAGTGGCTCACACTTGTAATCCCAGCACTTGGGGAGGCTGAGTCAGGAGGATTGCTTGAGGCCAGGAGTTCAAGACCAACCTGGACAACAGCAGGACTGTCTCTACAAAAAATAAAAATAAAATGTCTGTATTTAATATTATTGATAGGTAACATTCTCACATGTTCAAATGTCAAAAAATATGAAAGGGTATACAGTGAAGTATTTCTTTTTTTTTGAGACAGAGTCTCACTGTCACCCAGGGTGGAGTGCAATGACACCATCTTGGCTCACTGCAACCTCTGCCTCCTGGGTTCAAGCAACTCTCCCACCTCAGCCTTGGACTAGAGGCGCATGCCACCATGCCCAGCTAAATTTTGTATTTTTAGTAGAGATGGGGTTTTGTCATGTTGGCCAGACTGCTCTCGAACTCCTGGCCCCAAGTGATCCGCCGGCCTCGGCCTCCCAAAATGTTGGGATTACAGGTGTGAGCCATCACGCCTGGCCACAGTGAAGTATTTCTATGACTCATTCCTCCATCTACCCAGTTCCCACTCCCAACAGGTATTCATGATTATTAGCTTCTTATTTATTAGAAAAGTTTAAATGAATATGCTAGCTGACACATATCCGAATCATTTTCCCCCATTCTCTAAATAAACATAGCATCCTATGGCTACTGTTTTGCAGTTCGCCTTTTTTTTTTTAAGTATAAACGGGAATTAATTGGCTTATATGACTGCAAAGTCCAGGACGTGGCTGCCAGTACAGCAGGATCCAGGGCCTCAGACAATTAATTCCACCAAAACCCAGCTTCTCTCCTTCTCTTGCCTGCACTCTCCTCTCCGGTGGCTGCATCCTCAGGCAGGCTCCCCTCCTAGTCCCACATCCAGGATGACACCTTAACAGTTTGGGAACTCCAACAGAAAGGGCACACCTATTACCACATTCCCGGTAGATTCTAGCCAAAGTCCTGTGGAGGGCTCTCATTGGCCCAGCTGGAGTCATCAGGCCAAGCCAGTAGGATATACTGATTGGCCAGGCTGACGTGGCAGGGCCACCCCTGGTGTTCCAGGCTTGAGAAGTCAGTCCCACATTGGCATGAGTTTCCTGGCTGAATTGAGAAAAGTGGCTCTCCAAAGCCGTGTCAGGCTGCTGTAAGTGGATGATTTTCCCCAGGCAAAGATTACAGATGTCTACTGCAAAAGGCAGTGTTTTTGATGTCTTTTTTTTTGGCTCTTTCATGCCAGGAAGCTGCTATTATGCCAAACGCATCTGTGGCTCAGGCCATACAGGACCAAACGAAAAGCCAAAGTTGTTTACATCTTTCCTATGATCTTGTTTTTGTGGGCGCCCAAAAAATTATATTACAAACCCTCCAACTAGTCCCAAGTCCATACCTCTAACTACCCCCTTTTTCTAACACAAAGCCAATATTTCCCCTGCCCTAAATTAACCCAAGGCTAGGTACTACAGAACCCCTAGAGATACCGCTAATCTCCAAAACCCACCAGAATTATTCAGACCACCCAGTCCCAAACTTTCCCTGCACTGCCTTGCCTTCCCTGCTGAAACGCTAATAAAGGTTCTCGTTTAAGCTTTCCCTTCACTCCCTTCTGCCTCCTGACCAAACCTGGTGCTTCTTCTCCATGTGGCCCTGCATGGCGTGGTGTGTCCCTCCTCTCAGGAAATGTGGATAAATTATTCCTTCAAAGCCACTAGTCTCTCTGTCATCAGTCAGTCGCTTCTATAAATTAAAATCCTACAGGTACAACTGAGAGAGGGGCTGCTGCGACTGAGTTTTCAGTCCTGGAAAACCACACTTTTTTTTTCTGTCTCTGCAAGGCTTTGGCAGTCTCTCCTCTCCACCCCCTTATTAATGCTGGCCTCTGTTTCACAGGTACCTCTCTACACGAGCAGGTGCAAATTGTCACTGATGGGGGAAACATGAAACAAACTCAGATGCCTCCAGGGACACGTGAGAAGCCACACTTGTTTCAGCCTATTGTTCTCTTGAGGGAATGTGGGCCCTGTGATGATGCTAGATCTTTCTTTTCTTTCTGTACCTTCCTCTCTTCTTCCCTCTCTCCTTCCTTCCCTCCTTCTCTCCTTCCCTCACACCCTCCCTCCCTTTCTTCTTTCCTCTTTTTTAAGAAAAACTGAAAATCTATTTCTGTTTTGATTGGAGCTTTTGTGTGTGTGTAAAATATGTTGTGTGTGTGTTTTTTTTTTCCACAGCAACTGCTTTTTGTGTGTGTGGTAAAATATGTATGAAATAAACTGCCATTTTAACCTTTTTATGAGTAGAACTCAATGGCATTAATTACATTCAAAATGCTGTACAGCCATTGCCACAATTTCTAAACTTTTTCATCCCCCCAAATGGAAACTATGAACCCAGTAAGCAATAATTCCTCATTCTTCCCTCCTTCCTACTCTCAGTTCCTGAAACCTCTAATCTACTTTCTGTCTCTATGAATTTGCCTATTCAAAATCTTTCATATAAATGGAGTCAGATCGTATTTGTTTTTTTGTGTTGGCATATTTGACTCAGAATGTTGTAGCATGTGTCAGAGCTTCACTCCTTTTCATGGCCGAATGATACTCCACTGTATGGATATACTACTTTTTTTTTTTTTTTTTTTGAGATGGAGCCTCGCTCTGTTGCCCAGGCTGGAGTGCAGTGGCACGATCTTGGCTCACTACAACCTCCACCTGCCAGGTTCAAGCAATTCTCCTGCCTCAGCCTCCCGAGTAGCTGGGGTTACAGGAACACGCCACCATGCCCGGCTAACTTTTTTGTATTTTTAGTAGAGACAGGGTTTCACTATGTTGGCCAGGCTGGTCTGGAACTCCTGACTTCAAGTGATCCACCCACCTCAGCCTCCCAAACTGCTGGGATTACAGGTGTGGGCCACTGTGCCCAGCTTATTAGATATACCACATTTTGTTTATTCATTCATCTGTTAATGAACATGTGGGTGAAATATGTCAATTTTTACTTGTTGCAAAAACAAAACACACCTTTTTTTTTTTTTTTTTTTTTTGAGACGGAGTCTCGCTCTGTGCCCCAGGCTGGAGTGCAGTGGCGCGATCTCGGCTCACTGCAAGCTCCACCTCCCAGGTTCATGCCATTCTCCTGCCTCAGCCTCCCGAGTAGCTGGGACTACAGGCGTGTGCCATGACACCTGGCTAATTTTTGTATTTTTAGTAGAGACGGCGTTTCACCATGTTAGCCACGATGGTCTCAATGTCCTGACCTCGTGATCTGCCTGCCTCGGCCTCCCAAAGTGCTGGGATTACAGGCATGAGCCACCGCGCCTGGCCAAAACACATCATTGTTAAATAACTCCTCAGGCTACCCTTCTCTATGGGAAAATGCAGAGTAAATCAACAGATTTTTAATAGCAAAATGGCCAAGGAAAAAGCAGGATAGAGACAACGCAAAGATACAAACAATCTACCAAATGAATAAAGCCACTAATGTTACTTAGGCTCAAACAGTATCCCCCAAAGTGAGAGGCTGGATACTCACAACTCGATAAAGGGTGACATTCACCTGATATTGTTGCTGTCTCACATGGCCTTAATCATCTTATTGCTTTTGTCTTCACTGTTCTTCAATTTTGTGCCCTTCTCTAGTGCCAGCCATTGTGGTAGGCCCTGAAGAACACCCTCATGGAGAGCATATTCTGTAGAGGAAGACAGGCACACTAATAGTATCAACACAACCAATACAAATGCTGACTGCTGTTATGGGAAAACCTAGGAGGGATACACAGGCAGATTTGGAGGATTAGGTAAGGCTTTCCAACTTCCCAACTTCTCCAACAACTTGCAGAGAAGTTGTCCTGAGACCTGAGAGATGAATGAGAGGTATGATTTGGAGGCAAAGGCCAGGAAACTGGAAAGACTATAAAACACCTTGAGGAAATGACAGGAAAATGGGGATGAGGGACAGATGACATATGAGAGGAAGCAGGGACTCAATCGGAGTTTGGTATTCACCTTGAAGGCAAATGGGAGCTGCTGGAAGGATTCTGTGTTTTTTTTTTTTTTGAGACAGATTCTCACTGCTGCCCAGGGTGGAGTGCAGTGGTGTGATCTCAGCTCACTGCAACCTTTACCTCCCACCTGGAAGGTAGATGTTAGCGTAGGGTGGTGAAAGGCTTGTGCACTCATCTTAATCTTAAATATATACCTTGGCCAGGCAAGGAGGCTCACGGCTGTAATCCCAGCACTTTTGGAGGCTGAGGCTGGCAGATCGCCTAAGGCCAGGAGTTTGAGACCAGCCTGGGCAACATGGCAAAACCCCATTTCTACTAAAAATACAAAAATTACCCAGGCGTGGTGGCATGTGCCTGTGGTCCTAGCTACTCAGGAGGCTGAGGTGGGTGAATTACTTGAGCCTGGGAGGTGGAGGTTGCACTGAGCCAAGATGGCACCACTGCATTCCAGTCTGGGCAACAGAGGCAGACCCTGTCTCAAAAAATAAAAATAAATTTTAAAAAATTGAAAAAATACATATCTCAATGATTGTATGTATATAATGATTTTATATATAAATGATTTATATATTACTTTATCTATATTAAATGTCTATATAAGACAGATATGTAATTTCCAGCACTCCATAAGATTTCCTTGGGAGCTTCCTCATCTACCTCTGCCTCCAGGGGTAACCTGGTATGCACTATATACTCTTTTTCTCTTTTTTTTTTGAGATGGAGTCTTGCTCTGTCGCCCAGGCTGGAGTGCAGTGGCGTGATCTCGGCTCACTGCAAGCTCCGCCTCCCAGGTTCACACCATTCTCCTGCCTCAGCCTCCTGAGTAGCTGGGACTACAGGCGTCCGCCACCATGCCTGACTGATTTTTTTGTATTTTTTAGTAGAGACAGGGTTTCACCGTGTTAGCCAGGATGGTCTCAAATCTCCTGACCTCGTGATCCACCCACCTCGGCCTCCCAAAGTGCTGGGATTACAGGCGTGAGCCACTGCGCCCGGCCCTATATACTCTTTTATCTACCTCTTTTTGTGCTCAGCATAGTGTCTGAGCTTCATCTATATTGTATGTACCAGTAGTTCATCCTCCTATTACTTTGTAATACAGAAAAAAACTGAGAAAAGCTTTGAAATGGTCTAAAACAGATTACTGGGGCCAGGCATGGTGGCTCAAGCCTGTAATCCCAGTACTTTGGGAGGCCAAGGCAGGCAGATCACCTGAGGTCAGAAGTTCATGACCAGCCTGGACCACATGGTGAAACCCCATCTCTACTAAAAATACAATAAATTAGCCAGGCGTGGTGGCACGTACCTGTAGTCCCAGCTGCTCGGGAAGCTGGGGCAGGAAAATCGCTTGAACCTGGGAAGTGGAGGTTGCAGTGAGCTGAGATCACACCACTGTACTCCAGTCTGGGTGACAGAGCAAGACTCCATCTAAGACAAACAACAAAAAAATGATTACTGGGTGTCATTGAAAAACAAGGTGCCCAGCTGTCCAGCTTACTTTTCTAGGATGTCTGATTCTATGAAGACTCTAAACCTTTCACTGTCTTTGAGCTACAGAACAACTATACAAACTATAGACACTTCTTGTCTATAGAAATGCAAATTGTGGCCGGGCACGGTGGCTCATGCCTGTAATCCTAACACTTTGGGAGGCCAAGACAGGCGGATCACCTGAGGTCAGGAGTTCGAGACCAGCCTGGCCAACACGGTGAAACCCTGTCTCTACTAAAATACAAAAAGCTAGCTGGGCATGATGGCGGGTGCCTGTAATCCCAGCTACTCGGGAGGCTGAGACGGGAGACTCTATTGAACCTGGGAGATGGTGGTTGCGGTGAGCCGAGCTTGCGCCACTGCACTCCAGCCTGGGCGGCTGAGTGAGACTCCGTCTCAAAAAAAAAAAAAAAAAAAGAAATGCAAATTGTTTTCAGTAGAATGCAATTGATTACTAAGCTGTGGATTTCATCAGTTCTGCCAGTTTTTGTATATATTTGTAGTTATTTCATTATTCCTCATTTGACTATGTGTGTGGTACTTTGAATTTTCCATTGAAGCAGTTGTAATCTTTCTGGATATCTCATTCATTAATGAGTTAAATAAAATCTCTAACATTTATTTTATATCTGTATTATATTTGATATTAAAATTATTCTTCAACAGTAGTATACAGTTATATGAATAAGCTGCAATTTATCTATTCATCTATTGGTGGACATCTGGGTTTTTTCCCTTTGGCTATTATGAATAAAGCTGCTATGAGTCTTTTGGTGAATAAAGGCATTCATTTTTTGGGGTAAATATCTAGAAATGGGATTTCTGGGGTATAGGGTAGGGGTAAATTTGATTTCAGTAGAGACTGATGTTTCCAAAGTGGTTGTACCATTTTACACTCCCATCAACACTGTATGAGAGTCCCATTTCTGCATCTTTGCAACTAAGGGAATTGTCAGTCTTTTCATTTCAGCTATTCTATGGAGTGTTTAATAGTATCATATTTTGGTTTCAATTTACCATAGAAGATTTTCAGGAGGGAGGTAACTTGAACAGATTTTTACATTTTAGAAAACTCTTTCTGCGTATTATGTGGAGAATGATTATTTGTATACCAAAGTTCATAGCAGCATTATTCACAATAGCCAAAAGGTGGGAATAACCAAGCATCCATTTATATGGATGAATGGATAAACAAAATGTAGTATACATGTATAATGGAATATTATTTAGCCTCAAGAAGGAAGAAATTCTGATACATGCTACAACATAGATGCTCCTTGAAGACATTATGCTAAGTGAAATAAGCCAATCAGAAAAGAGCAATTATTGTATGATTCAATTTATATGCGGTACCTCGCACTTACAGACAGAAAGTGCAATATCGGCTATAAGGGGTTGTGAGAAACGGGTAACGGGGAGTTACTGTGTAACAGGCAGATTTTCTATTTGGGATAATGAAAAAGTTCTGGAGATGGATAGTGGTGATGGTTTCACAACAATGTGAATGTACTTAATGCCAGTGAACTGTACACTTAAAAATGGTGAATTTTATGTTAGATAGATTTTATCACACACACAAAGAGGAGGGAGGGCGGGAGGGAAGGAGAGAGGGAAGGAAGTAGAGAGGGGAGAAGAGAGGAAGAAAGGAAAGAAAGTAAGATCTGGCATCACAGGGCCCACATTCCCGCGTGTCAGCAATAGGCTGAAACAGAAGCATGGTTTCTCACGTGTCCATGGAGGCATCTGAGTGTGTGCCCACTTTCCCGGTTCAATGACAATTTGCACCTGCTCGTGTAGAGGGGTACGGGTGAAACAGAGACCAGTATTATTAAGGGGATGGAGAGGAGAGACCGCCAAAACATCGCAGAGACACACCGTCGGAACCAAGAGAATGGGGTGCAGACGCCTGGCTTGGCCTGTGGGAACTGGCAAGTCTCAGCTCTCAAACGCCCGGGCTTTTCAACCCGCCACAGCCGGGTTCCAGCTGCCTACTTCCTTTAAAGCCTTCACCGACTCTAAAACACCAAAAACAAAGACCCAACTAGCTCCGGAAGCCCGAGATGTAACCGTAGTCATCTGACCCTCCCGTCCGGACTCTGATTGGGCTTTGGAGATACGCGTCCCTCCCGGCGCTGTACGGCGACCCCGCCCCAGCAGCCTGAGGGGGCGGGAACAGATGTCCGAGTGCGACAGTATTGGTCGGCTTCCCCAGGAAGCAGCCAATCGGAATAGGCAAGCTTCCGGCGGGAAGTGAGCCAGGGCTTGGCGCGGCGGCCGTGGTTGCGGCGCGGGAAGTTTGGATCCTGGTTCCGTCCGCTAGGAGTCTGCGTGCGAGGTGAGTACCGCGCGCGTAACTACGGGTCGGTCCGCATTGATCTAGCCCTGCTCTGGCGGCCCGGCCCGGAGCTGGAGGCCGCTCGGGTTCTTCCGTTTCCTGCACTGGTTCGCCTCGGCCCGCTGAGTCCTCTAGTCTGGCCAACATCCTGGGAGGACAGCAGATACATAAATACGTTCCCAAATGGGGAAACAGAGGCCCGGGGCGGGGGCGAACTCTGCCAAGGTCTCCCGGGGCGTCGGAGGCCGAGCATGGGCTAGGACCTGGCATGTTGTTGCCCATATACTCCAGTGCGTAACATGATGCCCTGCACAGAGTAATCCCAGCCCAGACCTCTGGCACTACTACCTCCGTGTCCCTCCTGAGGAACAACGAAAACACTTTGTACTTTTTCTGTGGCCTTCCATAATCACGAGCTGGGCTACTCTTGTTTTTGAGTGTCTACTGTGTGCCATGTTCCTGGCACCCTTGATCTTACAACTGTAGCTTTACGATATCCCAGCAAAGCGAAGTGCTTAAGAATACTGCATCAGATTGCTTGGGTTCGAATTCTGGCTCCTTCACATTTAGCTCTGTGTCTACTGCACGTTACTGAAACACTAAGTGTCTTGGTTTTCGTCTGTCATATGGGGGAAATGGTCTCTTCTACTTCCTGGCGTTTTTGTTAGGATTAAACGACTTAATATATGCAATAATAAATGCTTCGAAGGCTACCTGTTACATAGTACACAGTAAGGGTTCTGTTATCATTACCCAGAGAAGCGGATGAAATTGTCCCCATTTTAGACATGGAGAATCTGAAGTACAAAGAGGTTGTCTCCGTACAGAAAGAGCATTTGGTGATTAAGTGCTAGAGATACAGGATTTGAACTAAGCGCCTGATTTTAAAGTATGTCCCACAACATTAGGCTTTCTCCTATAGCCCTCACCTGTCCTTAGGTCACACAGAACTTTAGGTACCTCATGGCGTGAGATGGAGCAGGTGACTGACAGCTCCTTGTGCCACCCATGCAGATAAATAACACTGGTGTGTCACTGTCAAGATTAAGGGACAGGAATTCGAGAGACTGCATGAGAGATCAGAAGATGAAGAAGCGGGTAGGCAAAAGTATTCTGTTTGGGGAATAGTAAATAGAATTAATTAAATCAACATTTTGTTAGCTGGGCTGCTTATACTGTCAGACAGTAGCTTATAATCTACTGGGAAGAAATGAAATTTCTGGGTCCTGTGTCACTTTCAATGCCACTCACCATGACAGGTACCTTATAAGTATAGTTTACAGTCCTATCAGTAACCTGGAGAAGTAGTTATTTCCTTCGTTTTACTGAGGAAACCAAGAGTTAAAAAATCAGGAAAAGTGTTAGATGTGCAGTAGAACATCATCATGCTGGGAAGTTCTACACATCCGCTTCAGGACAGGTGGTATTACCTATGAGCAGGAAGGGAAGGGAAAAAGGTAAGGGGAATGAGTGATAGTTTATTGTTTTGATTTTTAAATTTTTATCTGTTTTTTCCTTTTTCATAGTCATTCCTGGAATGAGTGAGTTTGTTTTTGTTTTTGTTTTTGGGGGATGGAGTCTCGCTCTGTCGCCCAGGCTGGAGTGCAGTGGCGCGATCTTGGCTCACTGCAAGCTCCGCCTCCCGGGTTCATGCCATTCTCCTGCCTCAGCCTCCCAAATAGCTGGGACTACAGGCACCCACCACCACGCCCAGCTAATTTTTTGTATTTTTAGTAGAGACGGGGTTTCACTGTGTTAGCCAGGATGGTCTCGATCTCCTGACCTCGTGATCCGCCTGCCTCCGCCTCCCAAGGTGCTGGGATTACAGGCGAGCCACCGCGCCCGGCCATGAGTGAGATTTTAAATATATCTGAAATGAGGCCAGGCACAGTGGCTCACACCCATAATCCCAGCACTTTGGGAGGATGAGGCGGGCGAATCACCTGAGGCCAGGAGTTCGAGACTTGCCTCACCAACATGGCGAAACTCCCTCTCTATAGTAAATACAAAATTATCTGGGCGTGGTGGTGTGCGCCTGTGGTTCTAGCTACTGGGGAGGCTGAGGCACGAGAATCGCTTGAACCCAGGAGGCTGCAGTTAGTCAAGATTGCACCACTGCACTCCAGCCTGGGTGACAGAGTGAGAGTCCGTCAGTCAATCTACCTGAAATGTTTTATGCCTTTAAAAGAGAGAGAATAGGGCCGAGTTTAACTTTTTAAATTTGGTTGGTGGGTACATGGGTGTAATTCTATTTTCTGTATCTTTATGTAAGAAATATTAAAAATTAAAAGATATACATATATATTTTAATTTACATATATATGTGTTTTTTTCTAAGAGAAAAATGGATAGAATAAAGAGGTCCAAGATAATCGTAGAATAATCCTAGGACTTCAGTGCTGAAAGCCCCTAAGGGTCTCCACTACCTGTAGGATAAAATCTAAACTCCTTGGCATGATACCAGAGGCTTTTGAGCATTCTGTATCGCTAACACATACTATTCTACCTCAGCCTTTGTACCACTAGTTCATAGACTACTCTTCTTCACAACCTCAGTCCTGTCTGTAAAGTTCCACTTGTCCTTCAATATCCAATTCAGTGTTCTTTGAAAAGCTTCTCTATCATTTGCCTGTTTTTCCTTAATCTGGGAAGCCATAGTCTTTTAAGAAAAGACTTGATTGTCAGACTTATCTCGTTGCATTGTAATTATTTGTTGACATGTCTATTTTCTGCTAGTCTATAAGCTCCTTGAAGGCAGTAATAATGTCTTTCCCATCTCTGTACTTCAGTGCCTACCATGATGCCTGGCACAGAGTAGTCACTGTAGATATTAGCTGAATGAAAAATACAAGTTGAAGACAGAGAGTGAAAGTTCTTGGAGTTATGACATATGGACTTTGTTCTCTGGAATGACAGGGAACTATTGAGTTTACTTTCTTTAAAAATTCCCGTATTTTATTGAAACATATTCTCAATGTCAAGAAAAATATTCCAGTCATAATCCTATCTTTCAAACACTTGAACTATTTTTATTTTCCATGAGTCCTTTCCAAATTTCAGCTATAAAATTAGTTATACAGATTTAGCTATACAGATTTCTTAGGTAGCTGTAGCCTTAATGTATTCATAACTTAGTGTTTTTCTTTTTTCTTTCTTTTTAAACCTGACACTTGAGGAATTTTTTTTTTCTTTTCTTTTTTTTTGAGATAGGGCTCACTGCAGCTCCAGCCTCCCGGGCTCAAGTGATCCTCCCACCTCAGCTGGGAGTACAGGGGTGTACCACCATGCCTGGCTAATTCTTGTATTTGTTGTAGAGATGGGCTTTTGATTTTTTGTAGAGATAGGGTCTCGCCGTGTTGTTCAGGCTGATCTCGAACTCGTAGGCTCAAGCAGTTTGCCCACGGAGTGCTGGGACTACAGGTTTGAGCCCACCGCACCTGGCCTGCTTTTTTCAATATTAAATTATTTCCTGGCTGGGCGCGGTAGCACATGCCTATGATCCCAGCACTTTGGGAAGCCAAGGTTGGGGATTGCTTGAGCCTGGGAGTTCAAGACCAGCCTGGGCAACATGGCAAAACCCCGTCTCTACCAAAAAATAAAATAAAAATCTAAATAAATTATTTATTTTAGTGAATCAGTCTTTATGCTTGTCATTTGTCTTATAA
The DNA here is from genome assembly GCF_000001405.40 of Homo sapiens. Lineage (NCBI taxonomy): Eukaryota > Metazoa > Chordata > Mammalia > Primates > Hominidae > Homo > Homo sapiens. Next base: position 90,721,106 of record NC_000015.10, read on the forward strand.
ATTTTCGCAATATTCCTCTCTCTTTGGTTTAATAGGTATGAAATGATGCTCCATGTTATTATTAGAAAAATTTCACAATTTTTTCATAAATTTACTTAGTGTCTGTATATTCTGGTGAGCTGTTGTGTTTATATTCCCTGAACATTTGTTCACTGGAACTGGATGTTCTTTATGTGTTTTTAATATTAATCATTTATCTGTTATTTGTTGCTAATTTTTCTTTTCTTTTTTCTTTTTTTGAGATGGAGTCTCATCCTGTTGCTGAGGCTGAAGTGCAGTGGCGTGATCTCAGCTCACTGTAACCTCCGTCTCCCGAGTTCAATCCATTCTCCTGCCTCAGCCTCCTGGGTAGCTGGGATTACAGGCACCCGCCACCACGCCCGGCTAATTTTTGTATTTTTGGTACAGATGGGGTTTCACCATGTCAGGCTGGTCTCAAACTCCTGACCTTAGGTGATCTACCCACTTTGGCTTCCCAAAGTGCTGGGATTACAGGTGTGAGCCACTGCATCCAGCCTAATTTTTCTTTTAAAAATATTTTTATTGGCCGGGCACAGTGGCTCGCGCCTGTAATCCCAGCACTTTGGGAGGCCTAGGTGGGCGGATCATGAGGTCAGGAGTTCGAGACCAGTGTGGCCAACATGATGAAACCCTGTGTCTACTAAAAATACAAAAATCAGCTGAGCATGGTGGCACATGCCTGTAATCCCAGCTACTTGGGAGGCTGAGGCAGGAGAATCACTTGAACCCAGGAGGCAGAGATTGCAGTGAGCCGAGATCACACCACTCCACTCCAGCCTGGCGACAGAGCAAGACTGCATCTCAAAAAAAAAAAAATTTTCTTTATTATGACAACCAAGATACATTTGTAAAAATATACATAATTTCGCTGGAAACCAAGAGTTAAAGTGGCTCACGCCTGTAATCCCAGCACTTTAGGAGGCTGAGGCAGGTGGATCACTTAAGGGCAGGAGTTCGAGACCAGCCTGGCCAACAGGGTGAAACCCCATCTCTTTTTTTTTGAGACAGAGTCTCACTCTCTCTCCCAGTCTGGAGTGCAGTGGCGCAATCTTGGCTCACTGAAAGCTCCGCCTCCCAGCTTCATGCCATTCTCCTGCCTCAGCCTCCCAAGTAGCTGGGACTACAGGCACCTGCCACCAGGCCCGGCTAATTTTTTGTATTTTTAGTAGAGACCGGGTTTCACTGTGTTAGCCAGGATGGTCTCGATCTCCTGACCTCATGATCCACCCACCTCGGCCTCCCAAAGTGCTGGGATTACAGGCATGAGCCGCCGTGCCCAGCAAAAAGCCCATCTCTACTAAAATACAAAAATTAGCTGGCCATGGTGGCCCATGTCTGTAATCCCAGCTACTTGTGAAGCTGAGGCAGGAGAATCACTTGAACCTGGGCAGCGGAGGTTGCAGTGAGCCTAGATCAGGATCACGCCATTGCACTCCAGCCTGGGCAACAGAATGAGACTCTGTCTCAAAAAAATAAAATAATTTAAAAAAAGTTACATAATTTAAAGAATAGTTACAAAGAAATTACAAAGTTTAGTTATGCATAAAAATTATATTGTATTCATGGTAAATTGAAGACTCATTATAAAATTATAGTTACACATAACTATCATCTAGATCAAGAAAGAAATAGAATATTACCAGGATCCCAGGACCCCAGAAGTGTATCTTTCTGATACCTCCTCCCTATGTTAGGGATAACTATTGTCCCAATTATGTATTTATTTATTTTGAGACGGAGTTTTGCTCTTGTTGCCCATTCTGGAGTGCAGTGGCGCGATCTCGGCTCACTGCAACCTCTGCTTCCTGGGTTCAAGCAATTCTCCTGCCTCAGCCTCCCAAGTAGCTTGGATTACAGGCGCCTGCCACCATGGCTGGCTAATTTTTTCTATTTTTAGTAGAGACGGGGTTACATCATGTTGGCCAGGCTGGTCTTAAACTCCTGACCTCAGGTAATCTGCCTGCCTCGGCCTCCCAAAGTGCTGGGATTACAGGCATGAGCCACCGCTCCTGGCCCTATTGTCCCAATTTTTGTGATAATGCTTTTCTTGTCTTCATAGTTTGCCCTGATCTATACATCTATAAATAATATAGCTCAGTTTTGCCTGGTTTTGAGCTCTGTAAATGGGATAATACTATATGCATTCTACTGAGTCTTTCTAGTTTGCGTTATTATGTTTGTGAGATTCTTCCACGTTGTAGATATAGTTTTTCTTTTCTTTTTTTTTTTTTTTAATAGTAATTTTGGCTGGGCATGGTAGCTCACTTCTGTAATCCCAGCACTTTGGGAGGCTGAGGAAGCAAGATCTCTTGAGGCCAGGAGTTCAAGACCAGTCTGGCAACAATGGGAGACTTGTCTCTATAAAAAATTTAAAAAATTAGTTGAGCATGATGTCATGCACCTGTAGTTCCAGATTCTCCAGAGGCTGAGGCAGGAGGATCACTTGAGCTTAGGAGTCTGAGGCTGCAGTGAACTATGATTGTGCCACTGCGCTCTAGCCTGAGTGACAGAGCAAGACCTTGTCTCTAAAAAAAAATTTTTTTAAATTGTTTTTCTTAACCTCTTAACAGAGTTTTACATGTATAGTACCACACAGCCACAATGTTGTATGGCAGATCTCTAGAATGCGTTCATTTTGCATTACTGAAACTTTATACTTTTTGATTAACAACTCCCCATTTCCTGAAAGCCCCTACCCTGGCAACCACTGTGCCCCTCTTTGCTTCTATGAGTTTGCCTATTTTAGATACCTCGTTGCAGTGGAATCATGTAGTATTTGTCCTGTGACTGGCTTACTTCACTTTGCTTAATGGCTTCAAGGTTCATCTGTGTCATCTCATGTTGCAGGATTTTTTTTTTAATTTTTTATTATTTAACTTAATTGTATTGTATTTTATTATTTTTCAGACAGGGTCTTGCTCAGCTATCCAGGCTGGAGTGCAGTAGAATGATCGTTGCTCACTGCAGCCTCTAACTCCTGGGCTCAGATGATCCTTCTGCCTCAGCCTCCCGAGAAGGTGAGACTACAGGAGTGTACCACCATGCTTGGCTAACTTTTTTATTTTTTGTAGATACTGGGTCTTGCTTTGTTGCCTAGGCTGGTCTCAAACTCCTGGGCTCAAGCGATACTCCTGCCTTGGCCTCCCAAAGTGCTGGGATTACAAGCATGAGCCACTTCATCTAGTCAATTTTTTTCTTTTTAAAGGCTGAATATTTCATTCTATGCGTATACCACTGTAAAGAAAACTCCATTTCCTCTCTACTCTGTACCCATATAATAATTCCTCACTTCTGTCACCAAATGTGTGGTGTTTTTTTTCCCCACAATAGTTCAGTTCTTTAGCAGACACTGGGTGTCCTACATTTAGCTCAGGTCTGACACTAACTGCCAGGTGTTAGTGCAGACCCCAAATGTTAAGTCCTCCCTGTCCACCCGCATTCCAGACCCCCCACTTCAGACTACAAGCACAAGTGGTAAGTCCTCCACATTCAGTCACAGAACAGTTTCCTTACTAGATTATCAGCTTATTATAAACAACTCAGAAGCAGCCAGCTGGAAGAAATACACAGGACAAGGTATGTGGGAAGGGGTGTGGCACTTCCATGCCCTCTCCAGGCACACCAGCCTCCCACCATCTCTACATGTTCTCACCAACCTAGAAGCTCCCTGAGCCCTATCCTTCTGGGTTTTTACGTAGGCCTCCTTACCTAGACATGATTGATTAAATAATTGGCCATTGGTGATTAAGTCACTCCCCAGCCCCTTTGTCCTACCCAGAGGAAGTTTTGTTTTGTTTTTTGAGAAGGAGTCTCACTCTGTCGCCCAGGCTGGAGTGCAGTGGTATGATCTTGGCTCACTGCAACCTCTACCAGCTGGGTTCAAGAGATTCTCATGTCTCAGCCTACTGAATAGCTGGGGTTATAGGTGTGCACCATCATGCCTGGCTAATTTTTGTATTTTTAGTAGAGAGAGCGTTTTGCCATGTTGTCCAGGATGGTCTCAAACTCCTGACCTCAGGTGATCTGCCCGTCTCGGCCTCCCAAAGTGCTGGGATTACAGGCATAAGCCACCACGCCCGGCCCCCAGAGGAAGGTTTTATTGAATTAATTACAAACTGATAGGTCAAAGAGTGTGTATGTTTTACCTTACTATGTAATACTAAATTGTTTTCAAAAGTGCTTGCACTCCCACCAATGTATTAGATTTTCCGTTGCTCTGCATGCTGGCTAATACTTTATATTTACATTTTTATTTTCCAATCTGGTATATTCATGTATAGTAGTATTTTCTGGTAGCATTCATTTCTCTGATTATTAGTGAAGATGAGTACCCTGATGTGTTTATGGGCTATTTCCTCTTTTTTACAGTCCCTTTTTTTTTTTTTGAGGCGGAGTCTCACTCTGTTGCCCAGGCTGGAGTGCAGTGGCACCATCTCGGCTCACTGCAAGCTCCGCCTCCCGGGTTCACGCCATTCACCTGCCTCAGCCTCCCAAGTCCCAAGTAGCTGGGACTACAGGCGCCCGCCACCATGCCCGGCTAATTTTTTTTTTTTTTTGGATTGTTTTAGTAGAGACGGGGTTTCACTGTGTTAGCCAGGGTGGTCTCAATCTCCTGACCTCGTGATCCACCCGCCTCGGCCTCCCAAAGTGCTGGGATTACAGGCGTGAGCCACCGCGCCCAGCCTACAGTCCCTTTTTTTCTGTCTTCTCTATTAAGTTGTCTCTGTTTTATGTACATATAAACATATTTATATATAGTTATCTACATTTTTATATATACGTACATACACATTTACATAGGTGTAGCAGATATCTTCTACTTTGGCTTTTTAAGTGGATTTAACATAATTTTAGTCAATGACTTTTTTTATTTTTACATTTCTTTAAAGTGACATAATTGTACCCCAACAATTTATGGGGTACATAGTGATATTTTGATACATATACTGTATAATGATCAGATCAGGGTAATTAGCATATCTATCATCTTAAAACATTTATCATTTCTTTGTGTTGGGAGCATTCAATATCCTCCTTCTAGCTATTTGAAACTGTATAGTACATTATTGTTAACTGTAGTCATCCTGTAGTGCTACAGAACACCAGAACTTATTCTTCCCATCTAGCTGTAATTTTATATTCTTTTCTTTCCTTTTTTTGAGATGAAGTTTCACTCTTGTTGCCCAGGCTGGAGTGCAATGGCACAATCTTGGCTCACTGCAACCTCTGCCTCCTGGGTTCAAGCAATTCTCCTGCCTCAGCCTCCCAAGTAGCTAGGATTACAGGCATGCGCCACCATGCCTGGCTAATTTTGCATTTTTAGTAGAGACGGGGTTTCTCCATGTTGGTCAGGCTGATCTCAAACTCCTGACCTCAGGTGATCCACCCACCTCGGCCTCCCAAAGTGCTGGGATTACAGGCATGAGCCACCACACCCAGCCAATTTTGTATTCTTTAACAAATCTGCCCCTACCCTTCCCAGCCTCCAGTGTCCTCTGTTCTAGATTTTACTTCTATGAGAGCAACGATTTTTAGGTTCCACATATGAGTGAGAACATATGGTGTTTAACTTTCTGTTCTTTATTCCACTTAACACAATGTCCTCAGGTTCCATGTTGCTGTGAATAACAGGATTTTATTCTTTTTTATGGCTGAATAGTATTCTGTTGTATAAATGTACTATAATTTTTTTATTCATTCATCGCTTGTTGAACACCTTGGTTGATTCCGTATCTTGGCTATTGTGAATAGTGCTGCAGTAAGCATGGGGGTGCAGATGTCTCTTTGATATACTGACATCTTTTCCTTTGGATAAGTGTTCAGTAGTGGGTTTGCTGAATCATATGGTAGGTCTATTTGTAGTTATTTGAGGAACTTCCATACTGTTCTCCATAGTGGCTGTACTAGTTTATATTCTCACCATCAGTGGAAGTGTAAGAGTTCTCTTTTCTCTGCATCCTCACCAGCATTTGTTATTTTCTGTCTTTTTGATAATAGCTTTCTTAACTGGGGTAGGATGATACTTCATTGTGTTTTTGTTTTTGTTTTTTTAATTTTTAAAATTTTTTGTAGAGACGGAGTCTTGCTGTGTTGCCCAAGCTGGTCCTGAACTCCTAGCCTCAAGCAATCCTCCCGCCTCAGCCTCCTAAAGTGCTAGGATTCAAGGCATGAGCCACTGTGCCTGGCCCTAATTGTGGTTTTGATTTGCACTATTTTTTTTAACATCTTTTATTGTGAATTATTGTATGTTATATTTCATAGATATAACTTGTACGTGAATGAGCTAATATAGTAGGCCTGAAACTGTTACCTTCAGAAAAGCCTGCTTGCAAAATTGGTCCCTGGCTGTGTCTGAGAACTTGGCTTTTGAAACCTTTCCTACACTGATCAGGTTGTTTTACTAATACCTGTTTTCCTTCTGAGAGTCTGAAATTTTGGTGGGAGGAAGGTGCCTAAGTGACCAGCCCTCAATAAAACCCCTAGATTCAGAGTCTCTAACCAGCTTCTTTTGGGCAGAAACATTGCACACACATAGCTGCATTTTCACTGAGAGAACATGCACTTTCTCAGGGGTTAGAGAGCATTGGAAGCCTGCACGTGAATTCCTACAGACACTACCTGATGTGTTTTTTTTTCCCTTGCTGATCTGGTTGTGTATCCTTAAAGTGTTGATGATATAATAAATGTTAGCTGTGAGTACAACTGTACACTGAGTCCCATGAGTTCTTCCAGCAAAATATTGAACTTAGCTGTTAAGTTCCTCCAGAAAAAAAAAAAGCTGGAATTTTGATTAGAAATGCATCAAGTTATAGATGAATTTGAGGAGAATTAGCATCTCCATATCGTCTTCCAATGTGAATGTGGTTCATATGATTGTTTCCTCCCTCCTTGACTTCTCTTAACGACTTTCAATTTTCTTTTCTTTTTTTGAGACAGGGTCTTGCTCTCTCACCCAGGCTAGAGCAAGTGGTGCAATCACAGCTTACTGCAGCCTCAACCTCCTGGGCTCAGGTGATCCTCCCACCTCAGCCTCCTAAGTAGCTGGGACCATAGGCACATGCCACCATGACCAACAAATATTTGTATTTTTGTAGAGACAGGGTTTTGCTGTGTTGCCCAGGCTGCTCTCAAACTCCTGGGCTCAAGTGATCTGCCCACCTTGGCCTCCCAAAGTGCTGGGATTATAGGCATGAGCCACTGTGCCCAGCCCAATTTTCTGAATAGATATCAAGGACATAATTTGTTAGATGTATTTTTAGGTATATATTATTTTCTTTAAATTTTTTTTGAGACAGGGTCTCACTCTGTCACCCAGACTGAAGTGCAGTGGCGTGATCTCAGCTCACCGCAACCACCGCCTTCCAGGCTCAAGCAATATTCCTGCCTCAGCCTCCCGGGTAGCTGGGATTATAGGCACGTGCCACTACTGCCACCACGTTCAGCTAATTTTTATATATTTAGTAGAGACGGGGTTTCACCATGTTGGCCAGGCTGGTCTCGAACTCCTGACCTCAAATGATCCACCCACCTTGGCCTCCCAAAGTGCTGAGATTACAGGCATGAGCCACTGCACCCGGCCGGGTATTTAAATTTTTGATGTCATCTTAAAAAGTTTTCTGACATTTTATTTTTTGTTTATTGATGATATAGAAAAACAATTTATTTTTGTATATTGACCTTGTCTCCAGCAGTCTTCCTAAACACACTGTCTTAGTTTTCTATAGCTGCTGTAATAAATTACCATAAACTTAGTGGCTTAAAACAACATAGAGGCCGGGAACATTGGCTCATGCCTGTAATCTCAGCAGTTTGGGAGGCCAAGGTGGGAGTATCGCGGGAGCCCAGAAATTCGAGACCAGTCTGGGCAACACGGTGAGTCCCTGTCTCTGTTTAAAAATAACAATAACACACGGTAGCTCACACCTGTAATCCCAGCACTTTGAGAGGCCGAGGCGGGCAGGTCACCTGAGGTCGGGAGTTTGAGACTAGCCTGGCCAACGTGGCGAAACTCCATCTCTACTAAAAATACAAAAATTAGCCAGGCATGGTGGTACGCGCTTGTAATCCCAGCTACTCAGGAGGCTGAGGTAGGAGAATTGCTTGAGCCCAGGAGACAGAGGTTGCAGTTTGCCGAGATCGCGCCACTGTACTCCAGCCTGGGCAACAAGAGAGAAACTCAGTTTCAAAATAAATAAATAAAATAAATAAAAACAACAACAACATAGATTTATTATCTTATAGTTCTGTAGTTCAGAAGTCTGAATGGGTTTCATTGGGCTAAAGTCAAGGTGTTGGCAGGCTGAGTTCCCTTCTGGAGGCTCAAGGGCAGAATCCATTTCCTTCCCCTTTTCAGCTTTTAGAGACTATTCGTATTCCTTGACTCTTGGCTTTCCTCCTCCATTATCAAAGCCAGCAACTTTGAGTCCTCCTGAAGTTGCCATCTTTCTGGTCTGTCATCTTATTTCCTCTTCCACTTAAAAAGACACTTGTGATTGCATTGGGTCCATCTGGTTAGTCCAGGATAATCTTCCTATTTTAAGGTCAGCTTATTAGCAGTCTTAATTCCGTATGACAGTAATTCACCTTTGTCATGTAACCAAGCATATTCACAACATCCAAGGATCAGGATATAGACATCTTTGGATGGGTATGGGAGATGGGGATAGTGGTGGTGGTCACATTATTTTGCCTCCTGCATTCACTTAAGATTTTTATTTTTATTTTTATTTTTATTTTTGAGACGAAGTCTCGCTCTATCGCCCAGGCTGGAGTGCAGTGGCGTGATCTCGGCTCACTGCAACCTCCGCCTCCCGGGTTCAAGCGATTCTCCTGCCTCAACCTCCCAAGTAGCTGGGATTACAGGTACGCGCCACCATGACCACCTAATTTTTTTCTTATTTTTTATTTTTAGTAGAGACAGGGTTTCACTATGTTGGCCAGGCTGATCTCGAACTCCTGACCTCGTGATCCACCCACCTCGGCCTCCCAAAGTGCTGGGATTACAGGCTTGAGCCACTGCATCCAGCCAAGAATTTTAATAATTTAATCTGAAGATTCTTTTAGATGTTCCACACACAAAATTATAGCCTTTGTGAATATTAATGATTTTACATCTTTCCAGTTAACACGCCTTTTATTTATTGTTCATGATCTACTGCTCTGGCTTGGACTTCCAGTATATATCTGATAAAAGTATTGATAGTGGGCATTCTGGAATTGTTCCTGATCTAAAAAGAAAAGTTTCCTAAACTTCACCTTACTGTATTCTCTCTGTCAGGTTATAGAAGTTCCTTTCTATTCCTGTTTGATAAGAGTTGTGTTTTTTTTTGTTGTTTATTTTTGAGGTGGAGTCTTGCTCTGCCACCCAGGCTGGAGTGCAGTGGCGCAATCTTGGCCCACTGCAACTTCCGCCTCCCGGTTCAAGTGATTCTCCTGTCTCAGCCTCCCAAGTAGCTGAGACTAGAGGCTGCGTCACTGCGCCCAGCTAATTTTTGTATTTTAGGTAGAGACAGGGTTTCACCATATTGGCCAGACTGGTCTCGAACTCCTGACCTTGTGATCTGCCCGTCTCAGCCTCCCAAAGTGCTGGGATTACAGGTATGAGCCACCATGCCCGGCGTGATAAGAGTTTTCATTATGAATGGATTTCACTGTGAATGGATGTTTGATTTTATCATATGCTTATTCTAGAAGTCTTGAGACGATATGGTTGTTCAGCTTTAATGTTGTGGTGAATTATATTAATTGATTTTTAAATGTTGAACCACTTCTGAGTCATTTTTTAGACAACACAACTTGGTCTCGGTATTTTTTATTTTATTTATTTATTTATCCTTTTAGACAGGGTCTCACTCTGTTACCCAGGCTGGAGTGCAGTGGTGTGACTTCAGCTCACTGCAGCCTTGATCTCCCAAGTCATCCTCCCATCTCAGCTTCCCAAGTAGCTGGGACTATAGGCAAGTGTCACCATGCCCAGTTAATTTTTATAAATTTTTGTGGAGATGAGATTTAATCACACTGCCCAGGCTGGTCTCAATCCTGGGCTCAAGCAATCCTCCTGCCTTGGCCTCCAAAAGCGCTGGGATTATAGGTGTGAGTCATCATGCCCGTGGCTCTTGGTGTATTTTATACATGGCTAGATTTACTTTGCTAACATATTGTTTGGGACTTTTGCATCTACATTTATGAAAAAGAATTAGCCTGGAGTTTTTCACTGAGGAGTTGCCCTTACAGGACTTAGTATCAGAGTTATGCTAGCCTCACAGAATGAGCTGGGGAGTTGGTTCTTTCTATATTTTGGAATCGTTTATGTAAAACTGGAATATTTTACTGCCATAAGTGCTTAGAAGAACTCACCTGCGCCACTCTGGTCTTGATGCTATCTTTGTGGGTAGATTTTTGACCATCAATAGGACTTCTTTAATGGTTATAAGGCTATTAGGTTTTCTGTTTATTTTTGAGTGAGTTTTGATAAGTTAATTTTTAAGGAATGTGTCCATCTCATCTAAATTTTAAAATTTATTGATGCAAAGTTGTTCATAACAGCCTAATGTTATCTTTTAATGTCTATAGCATATGTAATTAAATCTCGTCTTTCAATCTCTTCTTTTTTGTCTTTTTACAGAACAAACTTGGTTTATTGATCCTCTCTATTATATATCTATTATTTTTTACTCTTAAAAATTTTTTTAAAAATCTATTTATTTATTTATTTTGAGACCGGTTTATGAAACTGGCTAATTTTTGTATTTTTGGTAGAGATGAGGTTTCACCATGTTGCCAAGGCTGGTCTTGAACTCCTGGCCTCAAGTGATCCACCTGCCTTGGCTTCCCAAAGTGCTGGGATTACAGGCATGAGCCAATGCGTCTGACCCTCTTCTCTTTAAAACTGCCTCCCTTCTATTTTCATCAGGCTTATTTTTTCAGTTTCTTTTCTAATAATTAGGGTCATCCATTTTCTTGTAACTACTTCTTTAGTTGCATATTAGATATTTTTATGTGTAGATTTCCATTATTCAGTTTAAAGTATATTTGAATACTCACTATGATATCTTACTTGACTGATGGCTTATTCACAAGTATATTTCTTGATTTTCAATACAAAGGGATTTTCTAGATCTCATTTTCTTTATTTTGAAATTTTAAAAATCTACAGAAAAGAAAACCTACAGAAAAGTTGAAGAATTAGTGCAGTATATCATCTTCCCAAGTAAACAATTTACATTCATAAAAATAGTTCATATATTAGGTAACAAGGAAAACATTAGTAATTTCATAAAGTAGAAATATTATAATTCTGATCACCATGCAACAAAACTAGAAATTAAAAATGAAATTTATAAAAAAGCAGAAAGGCCCTTCCATCTGGAAAATTGAAAACAACTATTGGATGTAAGGAAAACAGAAACTGAAATAAAGGATTTCTGAAAATTAACGAAATGAAAACACAGCATATCAGATTCTTAAAAAAAAAAAAAAGGTAAGGCACTAGTCAGGGGAAAATTTATAATCTTCAGTACATATTATAAATGAAGAAAGGGAAATAATGAAATAAATTCCAAACTTAGAAAGTTAGGAAAAGAAAAACAAGTAAATCGAAAGCACAAGAGAATAAATAATAAAGATAAAAAGAGAAATTAGTAAGAGAACAGGAAAACATCTGATTCAAAAATTAAGATTTTTATCTTGGCTGGGCGCAGTGGCTCATGCCAGTAATCCCAGCACTTTGGGAGGCCGAAGCAGGCAGATCACGAGGTCAGGAGATCAAGACTATCCTGTCCAACACGGTGAAACCCCGTCTCTACTAAATACAAAAACTTAGCCAGGCGTGGTGGCATGCACCTGTAATCCCAGCTACTCGGGATGCTGAGGCAGGAGAATTGCTTGAACCTGGAAGGCAGAGTTTGCAGTGAGCCGAGATCGTGCCACTGCACTGCAGCCTGGGTGACAGAGTGAGACTATGTCTCAAAAAAATTAAAAAAAAAAGATGTGTATCTTGAATTGTTTAATGAAGCAAATAAATTAGCCTAATAGAAATTACAAATATACAGAATAAGAAATGGTAAGTGGTAAGTAACCACTGACACAGGATAGTTTTTATAACAGGATTAATTTATGTACCTTTACGTAAACAAATTTGAAAACTAAAATGAAATGGATAATTATGTGTGAAAATCTAGTTTACCAAAATTGACTCAAGTAGATGTTGGAAGTTAAATAGCTCAATTTCCATTGAATAAGTTTTTAAAGTTATGAAATAACTGTCTCACTGAAAAATAAAAAACATGAGGTCCAAATGGTTTAACAGGAAAATTCTACTACATTTATGGAGTCCAAATAATCCTAATGCTAAATAAATTGTTTTAGAACGTAGAAAAGAAGGAAAACTTCCAAATTCTTTATTTTCCAAATGGCTTGGTATTGTAAATGCTGATTTAGTTGTCTGTCTCCAGTTGTTGAAGGGCTGAAGTGAAATAAAGTAAAACATCTTAAAACACTTTTTAGTTCTTAGACCCTCTTTTTTAAAGTAGCTTTATTGATATAGACTGCACGTATTTAAAGTATACAATTTGTTCAGTTTTGACATACACACATCATCACCATAATTCAGTTAATGAACATATCCATCACTCTCAAAAGTTTCCTCATCCCCCTTAATTCTGCCTTCTTGCTCTCTTCTTGCCGGTCAACCACTTATCTGGTTTCTGTCACTGTAGAATAATTAGCATGTTCTAGGACTTTTAATAAATGTTATAATACAGTGTGTATTCTTTTGTATCTCACTTCTTTTACACAGCATAATTATTTTATATCGGTTTTTATGAAGCAAGTATAAAACAAATATTTAACATAAAAATTAAAGGTAGCACAAAGAAAATTACAGATGAATATTATGTATAAAAATTATGTAAAAGTTCTAAATAAAATACTACCAAACAGAACAGAATCCAGCACTCTATTACAAAACTATTAGCTCATCACCAAGATGTATACCAGGAATGCAAAGATGGTTTAACATTAGAATCATCAATGTAATTCACCATATTAATTAACCTAAGGAGAACAGTCATATATTTACTTTTATATATGCTGAAAAAGCCTTTGACAAGATTCAACACCAATATATAGTAAAAACTCTTAAGAAATTATATTGTAATCAATACTTCTTTTTTTTTTTTTGAGATGGAGTCTCACCCTGTCGCCCAGGCTGAAGTACAGTAGCATGACCTCAGCTCACTGCAACCTCCACCTCCCAGGTTCAAGCCATTCTCCTGCCTCAGCCTCCCAAGTCGCTGGGATTACAGGCGCCCACCACCACACCTGGCTAATTTTTGTATTTTTAGTAGAGATGCGGTTTCACCATCTTGGCCAGGCTGGTCTCAAAGTCCTGACCTCAGGTGATCTGCCCACCTCGGCCTCCCAAAATGCTGGGATTACAGATGTGAGCCACCATGCCTGGCCAATCAATACTTCTTAATGATGGTATTCTCTCTCTCTCTCTCTGTCTCTGTCTCTCACGCACACATACACACACACGCGCGCACGCACGCACACACACACACACACACGCAGAGAGAGAGAGAGAGAGAGAGAGAGAGAGAGAGAGACTTTATTCCTAAATCCTGTATTTTATCTAATAGGAAAATACTAGAGGCATTTTTACTAAGATTGAGAAAAATATAGAGATACTCACCAACTCCACTTGTATTTAACATTGTACTGGGGGCTTAGCCAATGCAGTTAGATAAATCAATTAGAGGCACAAGATTTGGAAAATAAAAAGTAATATTGTCCCTACTTGCAGGTGATATGGTAGTGTGTCTGGAATACTGCAGAAAATCAATAATGAAACTAACTAAACAGAAAAGGAATTTTATAAGAATATGCAAAAATCAGTAGTCTTCATATACACAACAAGTTTGAATATATAATGAAGGGTAAAATCCCATTTACAGCAACAAGAAAAAGAGAAAATATTTAGGAATTTAAAAACATGTAAAACCTAGGTGAAGAAATCTTTAAAACACTTCTGAATAACAAAAATAGCCTTAAACAAATGAAATCTTTTGTTCTAGGACAGGACAACAACATCATAAAAGTGCCTAAGTTAATATATATATATATATATATATATATATATATATATTTAAGTTAATACATATACCTAAGTTAATATATAAATTTAATGCAATCTCAATATAAATATCAACAGAGTTCTGGCACTAGACAAGTTGATTCTAAAGTTCATATAGAAAAATAAACATATAAGAATAGGAAAACAGAAGAGCTACAAAGAGAAAGTAGACTTCCAGATATTGTAACATGTTGCAAAGCTTCTATCATGATAATATTGTGGTATAGACCAATGGTATAGAATGGAAAGTCAATAATTAGTCTCCTAAACACATGAAGAATTTAGTGTATGATAAAGGTAGTTCTGAAATTATTAGGGCAGAGATGGACTCTTTATAAATAGTGCTGGGACAACTTGTTAGCCACTTGAAAAAACAAAATTATATCTATACTTTATATCAGACACAGGAATAAACTCCAAATGAACCAGAAATCTAATTTTTTTTAAATTACCTACTAGAAGAATACATAGATGAGTTTTCTGTAACCTGGATGTGGAGAAGGGCAATAAAAGAGGGGGAAAAATTGGCTACATTGAAAAGCAAATTCTTGATTACAAAAATGAAAAACACCATAAGCAAATTTAAAAGATAGATGAGAAACCAGGAAAAAAATCTGCAAAATACATTTTAAAGACCTACTATCCCTAGTCTAAATTGAGAGAAAAAAATACTAAAATTTGGTTAAAAAGGCAGAATACATGAGCAGATACAATTTTTTAAAAAGATTCAAAAACCATCCTTAAATATGTGAAGAAAATATTCAATTTCACCTAAACAGGAAGTGTAAATTTAAAGCTGCACTGAAATACCGTTTCTCACCTATCAGCTCTGCACTAATTAGAAAGCTTCACAAGAAGCCCCATTGGTGAGGCTGTGAGGAATGCAAACTTGTAAAACCTCCTTTGAGGGAGAAGTTGGCAATCCAGCAGACTACACATGCATTTGCCCTTTGACCCAGCCATTCCACTTGTAGAAATATTCCCTAAAGATACATTTTCTTTTCTTTCTTTCCTTTTTTTTTGAGACAGGGTCTTGCTTGTTGCCCAGGCTGAAGTGCAGTAGTGTGATCTTGGCTCACTGCAGCTCAAACTCCCAGGCTCAATTGATCCCACCTTGGCCTCTGGAGTAGCTGGGACCACAAGTGCATGCCACCACGCCTTACTAATTTAAAAATTTTTTTTATAGAGACGGAGTCTCACCATGTTGCCCAGGCTGGTCTTGAACTCCTGGACTCAAGCAATCCTGTCTCTGCCTCCCAAATTGCTGGGATGACAGGTGTGAGCCACCGTGCCCGGCCTTACGTTTTCAACAGTAGGGAAATATGAATGCACAAAGTTATTTGTTGCAGCATTATTTGTAATTGTAAAATATCAGGGAATACCTTAAATGTCCATACAGGAAATTTGTTGGTAAATATCTACACAATGGAGTACTGTACAGCTGTAAAGAAGAATGAGGAAAATCTTTGCAAACGGGTGTAGAGTGATTTCTAACATGAATGGAAAGCGTACATACAGTGTGCTATTTTTTATGTAAGAAAGAAGGGAAAATATGAGACTCTAATGTCTGCTTATTTTGCAAAAAGAAAAACAGGAAAGATAAATCAGAAATTATTGAAATTGATAACCCACAGGAAGTAGATGGCAAAGGATGGAGAGGGAAGAACACTTCTCTGTGGGGAAAAACAGTCTTTTATGTAGTTTTAACTTTTAGAACTATGTAAATGTTTTATATATTCAAAAATCAAATCCACAAGAACAGTACAAACACAAACTAATCTAATTCAAATGATGAATGTAATCACCCTGAAGGTGAGGTGGGACTGACCAATCAAGTAACTTTTGAATATAGTACTTTAATTATGTACCCTTAATCTGAAGAAAGAAATGCAACTGAATTTTGAACTCTTCTTAGTAGGTTTTTTTTTTTTAGTGACAGGAGTGTAGCAATTTGAAATTACTTCCTATAGTTTCAGATTGAATAAATGAATAAATATATGATGGTTTTTTCTATGAATTTTAAGATAGATGGATAGATCAATGGATGTATAGCTGTAGATACAGAAATAGATAGAAGTGTTTATATTTCCTAGATCTGTCTACTAAAAGGGCCTAGGAGCAATGATATGCAAGTAGCAGATCATATCTAATGGCCAGGTCTTAGATTTTAAAGATTTTTCCTCATTAAAATAAATGAAGGCTGTTTGAGGAAATGGTGATTCTATGGCTGAAGCAGGAAAAGTAAATGAAGACCATGAATGTTGTGCCAGGTAATAAGAAAGTGCCTGATGGGAACACTTTAAAGGACAGAGGAACCAATGGATTAAAGAAGAAAACAAGAGACATTAGAGTATATCTTGAGACAATGAAAACGAAAACACAACATGCCAAAACTCATGGAATACAGTGAAAGCAGTACTAGAAAGGAAATTTATAGCTACAAATGCTTACATTAAAAAAGAAAGATCTGAAATCAACAATTTAACTTCACACTTAAAGGAACAGTAAAAAGAACAAACCAAACCCAAAGCTACAGAAACAAGGAAATAATAAATATTAGGGCAGAGATAAACAAAACAGGGACTAGAAAAGCAGTAGAGAAATTGACAAAACAGAATTGATTCTTTGAAATGATAAAAAAATTGATAAAACTTTAGCCAGATGGACTAAGAAAAAATAAGACAAATTACTAAAATCAGAAGTGAACAAGGGGACATTATAACTGATTTACAGAAGTAAAAAGATTTATAAGAGAATATTGTGAGCAAATGTATGCCAACAAATTTGATAACATAAATGAAATGGATAAATTCCTCAAAACACATAACCACCAAGACAGAATCATGAAGAAACAGAAAATCTGAACAGACCTATAACTAGTAAGGAGATTGAGTTAGTAATCAGGTATCACCCAACAAAGAAAAGCTCAGGGCCAGATGGCCTCACTGGTCATTTCTAACCAATATTTAAAGAAGAATTAAGTCCAATTTTCCTCAAGCTCTTCCAATTAATGATATATTTGATAAAGGGTTAATACCCAGGATATATAAAGAACTCCTCAGCACTTTGGGAGGCTGCCGGGACGGGAGAATTTCTTGAGCCTAGGAGTTGGAGACCAGCCTAGGCAACATGGTGAAACCCTGGCTCTACAAAAAATTTAAAAATTTGCCAGGTGTGATGGTACTTTGCTGTGGTCCCAGCTACTCCGTAGGCTGAGGTGGGAGGACCACTTGAGCCCGGGAGGTCGAGGCAGCCGTGAGCTGTTGCACTCCAGCCTGGGTGACAGAGTGAAACCCTGTTTCAAAAAACAAAACAAAACAAAACAAAACAAAACAAAACAAAAACTCATACAGCTCAACAAATAACCCATTTAGAAAATAGAGAAAGGACTCGAATAGACACTTCACCAAAGAAGATATACAAATGGCCAATAAGCAAATGAAAAGATGCCTATTATCACTAATCATTAGAGAAAGGCAAATCAAAACCAGGAGATAAGACCTCACACCTGTTAGAATGCCTGTTATAAAACAAAACAACAACCAGAAAATAACAAGTGTTGCTGAGGATGTGGAGAAATTAGGATGTGGAAAAATGGGAAGCCCTGTGCATTATTTATAGCAATGTGAAATGGTGCAACCACTGTGGAGAACAGTGTGGTGGTTCCTTAAAAATTAAACATAAATTACCATATGATTCAGCAATTCTCAAAAAGATATTTGTACACCCATGTTCATAACAGCATTATTCACAATAGCCAAAAGGTGGAAGCAACCCTAACGTCCTTGAATGGATAAGAAAATGTGGTATGTATCTACAGTTAGATATTATTCAGCCTTAAAAAGGAAGGAGCGGCCAGGCGCGGTGGCTCACACTTGTAATCCCAGCCCTTTGGGAGGCTGAGACAGGCAGATCACAAGGTCACAGGTTCAAGACCAGCCTGGCCAACATGGTGAAACCCCGTCTCTACTAAAAATACAAAACAGAAAAATTAGCTGGGCTTGATGGCACGCACCTGTAATCCCAGCTACTCAGGAGGCTCGGGCAGGAGAATCACTTGAACCCGGGAGGCAGAGGTTGCAGTGAGCTGAGATTGCGCCACTGCACCCCAGCCTGGGCAACAGAGCAAGACTCCATCTCAAAAAATATTAATAATAATAAAGGAAGGAGCCTGGCATGGTGACTCATACCTGTAATCCCAGCTACTCCGGAGGCAGAGGTGGGAGGATCATTAGAGCTCAGGAGATTGAGGCTGCAGCGAGCTCTGCACACAGGAAATTCTGACACATGTCTCACAACATAGATAAAGCTTGAGAACACTGTGCTGAGTGAAATAAGCCAGTCCCGAAAAGGCAAATACTGTATGATTCCACTTACAGTGTGAATACATTATGATTCCCATACTGTATGAGTCTGCTGATGACAAACTATTGTTTTTTTGATAATCTGGAAGTGTCTCTATTTCTTGTGGCATTTTAAATAACAGCTGTATTGTTTTTAAATTATTATTTGTTTATTTTTTTGAGACAGGGTCTTGCTCTGTTGCCCAGGTTAGAGTGCAGTGGTGCAATCACAGCTCACTGCAGCCTCGACTTCCTGGTTGAGCAGTCCTCCCACCTCAGCTTCCCAAGTAGCTGGGACAACAGGCATGCACCATCATTCCTGGCTAATCTTTTGTATTTTTTGTAGAGATGGGGTTTCACCATATTGCCCAGGCTGGTCTCCAACTCCTGGGCTCAAGCGATCCCCCCGCCTCAGCCTTCCAAAGGGCTGGGATTACAGGCATGAGCTACTGTGTCTGGCCTGAATGACAGGTCTATTGAAATACATTACACATATAAAATTCACCCATTAAACTGTACAATCCAATGGCTTTGAGTATATTCACAGTTATGCAACCATCACCGCAATCAATGTTGGAACATTTTCATCAGCCCACAGAGAAATTTGCATACCCCTTGCCATCATCCCCAAATCCTCTCATCTTTCCCAACCCTAGGCAATCAGTAGTCTACACTGTATCCATGGATATGTCTATTCTTATACATTTCATATAAATGGAATCATACACTAGTTCATCTTTTGTGGCTGGATTCTTTCACTTAACATAATGGTTTCAAGGCTCGTCATTACTGTAGCATTTATCAGTACTATATTTTTTTGTGTGGCCAAATAACATTTTGTTGAATGGATATACACATTTTATTTATCCATTCATCACTTGATGGACATTTGAGTGGTTTCTGAATTTGGCTATTGTGAATAATGCTCCTGTGAACAATTTGTGTACAAGTATTTATTTTGAGTACCCATTTTTCACTCTTTCGCATATATAGCTAGGAGTGAAATTGCTGGGTTACATGGTGATATGGTTTGCCTGTGTCCCCATTGAAATCTCATCTTGAACTGTGGCTCCCATAATCCCCATGTGTCATGGGAGGGACCTCGTGGGAGGTAATTGAATCATGGGTTTTTCCCATGCTGTTCTTGTGAGAGTGAATAAGTCTCACGAGAGCTGATGGTTTTATAAAAGGCAGTTCCCCTGCACACACTTTCTTGCCTGCCACCATATAAGATGTGCCTTTGCCCCTCCTTTGCCTTCTGCCATGATTGTGAGGCCTCCCCAGCCATGTGGAACTGAGTCCATTAAACCTCTTTTTCTTTATAAATTACCCACTCTCAGGTGTTTCTTCATAGCAGTATGAAAATGGACTAGAACACGTGGTGACTATGTTTCGTTTTTTGAGGTACTGCTTGACTGTTTTCCAAAGTGGCTGTGCCATTTTAGAGTCCTACCAGCAGTGTATGAGGGTTCTGATTTCCCCACATTGTTGCCAACACTTATCTGTTGCTTTTATTATAGCTACTTTTTAAAAATAACAGCTTTATTGAGATATAATTCATATACCATGAAATTCACCTTTAAAAACCTAGTGTACAATTCACTGCCCTTGATTTGTGAAAGATATTTTTTCTGGGAAAAGAATTCTGGGTTAATTTCTATCAGCACATCGAAGATATCATTCCACTGTCTTTTGATTTTCATTTTTGCTAAAGAGAAATCAATTTTTTGTCCATATGGTACACTGATATATTTGGGTGTGGATTTCTTTTTATCTCTGCTTGGAATTTTTTGGCTTTCTCAAATCTGAAGGTTAGTGTCTTTAATTAGTCCTGGAAAAGTCCCAGCTGTTATCTTTTCAAATATTAATTCTTCCCTATTTTCTCTTCTTTCTGGAACTCTGGCTAGATTTATGTTAGACTTTCTACTCTGTCTTCCATGTCTCCTAACTTCTCATATTTTCCATCTGTTTTCTCTATCTCTCTGTGTGTGCATCTATTAAGTCAAAAACTATGAAGGGTCTGAGATTTTACCCTACATTTATAGCTATATTTATCTTTAGCCACTTTTCTGAAGTTCTAATTATCTATTGTTATGACTGATTTTCTTTGGGTTGTATTGGTATATTATCAAGTTGTCTACATATAATGATAATCTCATCTCTTCTAGTATTTCCTTTTTCGAATATTTTTGCATTGGCAAGAGCATCCAATATGGGAGTGAAAATGAGAGAACAATATTGTTTTTGCTGTTGTTTTTAATGGATTCACCCCTAGTGTAAAATATATGGTATTTGTTGGTTCTAGATTTTAAACACTTGTAATTTTGTGTTTTAATGTGTTTGTTAGACATGGTTTGAGTTTTATTAGGTGCCTTTTCAAAAATGCATTGATAATACATACTGTGTGATTCTATATATATGAATCAAGAAGTTTAAGAAACCATGAACGAAGAGAACATATGACATAAAATTCTGTCAAAAATCTCTCTTTGTCTAGAAATTGTGTTTGATGTTTAATTTTATCAGAGAACAGAAAGTTGCTTGCCCCAGTGCCCCAGTTAAGGTAAAGCTGAGGTTCATAAATACCTCAACTTAAAAAAATACAAAAAGTAGATTTTTTGATCGTTCTTAGTTAGGCTCACCACCTTTGCCCCAGGGAAAGTAACTCCTCCCCTTTGAACAGTCACTGAGTGAGGCTTACAGAGCGACGCTCTGTTTTTCAGGAACCACCCCCTAAAATCTCCACTTTTAGCAGAAGACTGGAAACAGAAACATCTAAATGTTACTTGGCACTGAATGTCTTGGAGTAGTCTTTTTGGCAGTCTATCCCTTGATAGACTGAAATAGCCATCTTTGACAACAAAATGAATAAAAAGTAAGGTTTGACCTAGTCTTAATTTTGATAGATCCCCAACCAGTAACTTTAGTGTCACTTATTTCAAAGAAAAGGCACTCTTTTTTTCTGCTGTGTTTTTCTCCATCCCATGTCTCTCTCTCTCTCTCTTTTTTTTTTAAAGGTTTATTGTGTTTACTTTTATTCTTTTTTTATTTTTGAGACAGGGTCTCTGTTGCCCAGGCTGGAGTGCAGTGGGGTGATCATGGCTCACTGAAACCTCGACCTCCCGGGCTCAAATGATCCTTCCCACCTCAGCCTCCTGAGTAACTGGGACTACAGGCATGTGCCACCTCACTCAGCTAATTTTTGTGTTTTTTTGTAGAGACAGGTCGTACTTTGTTGCCCAGGCTGCTCTGCAGCTCCTGGGCTCAAGCGATCCTCCCGCTTTGGCTTCCCAAAGTGCTAGTATTACAAGTGTGAGCCGCCGTGCCCAGCCTATTTGAAAAATTCTTAATAGCCAGTTTTAAAGGTAATGCTTGAAGCTTACATTTCCTGTGACTTTTTTTTTTTTTTTTTTTAAACACAGGGTCTCACTGTCACCCCAGCTGGAGCAGTGGCACAGAATTGCTCACTGCAGCCTCGAACTCCTGGGCTCAAGGGATACTCCCACCTCAGCCTCCCTGAGTAGTTGGGACTGTAGGTGTGTGCCACCATGCCTGGCTAAAGATGGGATCTCCCTGTGTTGCCCAGGCTAGTCTCAAACTCCTGGGCTCAAGCCATCCCCCTGCCTCAGCCTCCCAAAGTGCTGGGATTATAGGCGTGAGCCACCGCTCCTGGCCTGCTTATTTATATTCTTTTGTAATGGCATGATAACTTCTTTCATATATGTAGGAGAAAATTTTAATCATTTTCCAGATTGAACTTGTGATTCTTGTGGTCATTCTAATTCATAGGTTTATTTTTTTAGTTTCTGGTTGCTCATTGCACCCAGAAATTGTTCCTTTTTTTAATATTGTGAAACTTCACTAGCCTCAATTTATTTGTTTTCAGTTAATTTTTCTCCTTTATCACTGGTCTTTGTTATTGTGGATGAACAATTTTTTTTAAGAGATGGGGTCTCACAGTGTTGCCCAGGCTATAGTGCAGTGGCTGTTTACAGGTGTGATCATAGTGCACTACAGCCCTGAACTCCTGGGCTCATGCAATCCTCCTGCCTCAGCCTCCTGAGTAGCTGAGACTACAGGCATGTTGGTGAACAATTTTCTTTTTGTGTCCAACAATTGTATCGATATTTTGATGGAGTATGTACAGAAGAGACACCCTTATGGTTCTTAGTACTCACCAACTTCCTGAAAGCATTCCCACTGAGGATTTTGAGTAAGAAAATTATGTACTCATTACCATACTTCAGAATATGATTCTGGCTGGAGGGTGCTACCTCGTGAGGAATAACCAAAGAGCAGTGCATTTTAAAAGCAGGAAGAGGTCCCCTGGAGTTAAGGTTGACTGCATGCTAGCTGTGAATCCATAGTGTAATCACTACAGTTATAAAATAGTTAATCAAACAATTGTACTCCTGGGATGGCTAAGTAGACATATAAAACCATGCTGTGGAGTAATGTAGGAAATCTCTTATTAAAATATCATGGCTAGTTTTGATCCAAAAATAAGTAAGTTATGGAAGGAATGTGGGAAAAGGGTAAGTAATGATGCCATAGACCACTTTGTTCTGCTTAGTGTCATTAAGACTGAAGATCTGTGTACCTCTGCCTCCTTGTCAGTAGTCTACTTTGTTGATGTTGAAATTCTTAGAGGGCAATAGTCTGACTTCACTCTTTATCACTTCGTATTTATTCATGTGGGAAAGACTCCCACATTGTACAGGACCTTGAAGAGGGGACGCCTCAACAAAAGATCAAGGCTTTTATTTTTTATTTATTTATTTATTTTTTGAGACAGAGTCTAGCTCTGTCACCAGGCTGGAGTGCAGTGGCACAATCTCGGTTCACTGCAACCTCTGCCTCCCGGGTTCAAGCAATTATCCTGCCTCAGCTTCCCAAGTAACTGGGATTACAGGCACATGCCACCATGCCCAGCTAATTTTGTATTTTTAGTAGAGACAGGGATTCACCATATTGGCCAGGTTGGTCTTGATCTCCTGACCTCATGATCCGCCCACCTCGGCCTTCCAAAGTGCTGGGATTACAGGCGTGAGCCACCGTGCCCAGCCAAGATCAATACTTTTAAACTGGATTCCAAATGGTGAAGTGCCCTAGGAAATGCAGAGATTAAGGTCTTAAAATATTCTCCATTAAAAAGAATCAGGGAGGCTGGGCGCGGTGGCTCACACCTGCAATCCCAGCACTTTGGGAGGCGGAGGCAGGAGGATCCCTTGAGCACAGGAGTTCGAGGCCAGCCTGGGAAACATGGTGAAACCCCATCTCTACCAAAAATACAAAAAAATTAGTGGGGCATGGTGGTGTGCACCTGTGGTCCAGCTGTGTGGGAGGGTGAGGTGGGAGGAACACTTGAGCTGGGGAGGCGGAGGCTGCAGTGAGTCACCACTGCACTCCAGCCTGGGCAACAAAGTGAGACCCTGTCTCAAAAAAGAAAAAGAAAACAAGAATTAGGGATGCTTGACGAAATGGCCGATTCCAAATCTGGTGCAAAAAAATGCATAAGGTATGCCTGGAACATCTTTTGAGAGGAAAGAAGCTCTCAATGACTCATAAGGTTAAGTCATAAGGACTGAAGAGCCCGCCTGAAAAGACTCCCACTGGCCAAACATGAATCAATTTGAGAATCAATAAGGATGATCACTGTATTGGATTGAAACACACCTAATATGTTTAATCCATGAGTTCATAATGATACTGAAAAAAAATTCATCACTATTTGAAGGTGGTGAAAGAATGAATATCATTTTTTATTTATTATTGTTAATGTATGTAAGGGATACAAGTGTAGACTTCTTTTTTGTTGTTTTTTGAAACAGGGTCTTGCTCTGTTGCCCAGGCTGGAGTGCAGTGGCACAATCTCAGCTCACTGCAATATCTGCCTCCTAGGCTCAAGCAGTCCTCCCACCTCAGCCTCCTGAGTAGCAGGGACCACAGGCCCGCACCACCATGCCAGGCTAATTTTTTTATAGTTCTTTAGAGACAGGGTTTTGCCATGTTGCCCAGCCTGGTCTCAAACTCCTGGGCTCAAGCGATCCGCTCACCTCAGCCTCCTAAAGTGCTGGGTCTATGGGCATGAGCCACTGCTGCCAGCCACGTGAATATACTGTATAGTAGTGAAGTATGGGCTTTTAGTGTACTGCATCATTATTTTGAAACTTACGATAAAAGTCTTACAGCTGGCTACGCATGGCTCACACCTGTAATCCTAGCACTTTGGCAGGCTGAGGTGGGAGAATGACTTGAGCTCAGGAGTTCGAGACCAGCCTAGTCAACATGGTGAGACCCTGTCTTTACCAAACATTTAAAAATTAGCTGGGTTGTGGTAGTGTACACCTGTAGTCCCAGATAACTCAGGAAGCTGAGGTGGGAGGATCACTTGAGCCCAAGAGGTCGAGGCTGCAGTGAGCTGTGATTGAGCCAGTGTACTCCAGCCTGGGCAACAGATCAAGACCCTGTCTCAGAAAGAAAACAAACAAACAAAAAGTATTCCTGCTAATGAGTGAAAGAAGTAATAACAGAATCGAAATGTCACCATTTTGGAGGTGGACTTCCAAAATGGTGGAGTAAGGACCTCAGGGTGTATGTATAGCTGAAACAATATTGGATGAGTTGATAATTGTTGAATCTGGGTGATAGGTATGTAGGGATTCATTCCTTCCATCTACTTTTTTGGGGGTAATAATTAAGATATAATTCACATGCCAGTGTGAATTATTCAATGTTTATTAAATAACTAGCTATATTACCTAAAGCATGTTAAAGAGGGAAAAGAAGCAGAAATAATTCCTTCTGGAGAAAGTGGGACAAAAGCTGTATTATGATCATGCTTATAAACATGAAGATTTCTCAATTGGATGTAACTTAGTTTCTTCTAAATTCTGATTTTCACTGTTATCTAAAGTCAAGATGGTTGATAGATATGGGTTAATGAGTGGAACACGGCTTATGCGAAACTTCATATTTCTAGAAATATCATCTAGTGTTAACCCTGCCTCCTAAGATATATGCTATAAAATAAAAATAGATGTCTAGTAAAGGTAGGGAAAAGGGTTTATGGGGTTATAACTATCAGCTAAAGTGAGGATTTTTTTAACTATGCATGGATTACAGCTAGGATCTTCCTTTAGCCCCAGTAATTTTAAGGTGGTTTAAGCTGTTTGTTATCCTGGGCTATAGCTCAGCGTTACCACAGCTTGTTACACAGAGATATAAATGTGCTTGGTAAACGTATTCTTTCAGGTTGAAACTAGATGATTATGAAGCATAGTATCTTGCTGGTAAACCTTTGCTCTCATTGGTGGTGGTGTTCCTCCTTTCCCCAGTTCTGCCCTTGTGCAGAATTCAGTTATTCATTTGTTCTTTGGGCTTTCCGTGTGCTTTGATCATTTCCTCCCACCTCGCTCCCTTCCAGCTTTCATTTATCCTTCCAGGCCAGGTCCCATTTTTCTAAAAGCCCTTTCCTAATAATCCCCTCCCTAATGTCTTTTGTACTTATTTTAGCATTGTGGAGGAAGAGAGGGGGAACCTGGTTATTCTGTTATTCAAGTGAGCCTTCAGTTAGTTGAAGATTATATATTTCAAGTGTCACTAGTTGTAAATGTCAAAACAGTCTATTGACCAAAAAAAAAAAAAAAAAAAAAAAAAAGTCCTATTACTCTGGGCACAGTTGGAACAATGCCTGTTTGAATCAAGTCCTTCCTCCCCTCAAAAAACATTGTGATTAATGCAAAGTACCTAACTCCACTGATTTCTTTTTCCCTCACTTTTTAGGATTATGGCTGCTGTTCCTCAAAATAATCTACAGGAGCAACTAGAACGTCACTCAGCCAGAACACTTAATAATAAATTAAGTCTTTCAAAACCAAAATTTTCGTAAGTGTTTTGACTGGTTTGCTGTCACATAGGCACTAACTTACCACATTGTACACATGAGATATCTTCTCTTTAAACTCCCCCATTGTACAGATGAGGAAATGAAGCTGAGAGATTCATTGATTTTCCCACTTTGCCAATTAATGGTAGAGTATGTTTTAGCAGCACCAGGTGAGATTGTGTCTCATCTTTGCATGGTTCCTGGCACATAATATTTGCTCAATAAAGATTTGTTGAGTAAATGAATAATTGATCTTGTAAATTTGGGCAAATAAGTGTTTTTTAAGTTTTGGGGGGTTTTTTTGTTTGTTTTGTTTTGTTTTGTTTTTTCTTTTGAGACGGAGTCTCGCTCTGTCGCACAGGCTGGAGTGCAGTGGCGCGATCTTGGCTCACTGCAAGCTCCGCCTCCTGGGTTCACGCCATTCTCCTGCCTCAGCCTCCCGAGTAGCTGGGACTACAGGCACCTGCCACCACGCCTGGCTAATTTTTTTTTGTATTTTTTAGAGACGGTTTCACCTTGTTAGCCAGGATGGTCTCGATCTCCTGACCTCATGATCCACCTGCCTCGGCCTCCCAAAGTGCTGGGATTACATGCATGAGCCACCGTGCCCAGCCTTTTTTTTTTTTTCTTTTTTGAGACGGAGTTTCGCTCTTCTTGCCCAGGCTGGAGTGCCATGGCACAATCTTAGCTCACCGCAACCTCCGTCTTCCGGGTTCAAGTGATTCTCCTGCCTCAGCCTCCCAAGTAGCTGGGATTACAGGCATGCACCACCATGCCTGGCTAATTTTGTATTTTTAGTAGAGACAGGATTTGTCCATGTTGGGCAGACTGGTCTCAAACTCCTGACCTCAAGTGATCCGCCCACCTTGGCCTCCCAAAGTGCTGGGATTACAGGCGTGAGCCACCACGCCCGGCCAATTATTTTAATATAATTTTATATACTTTCGAAGAACAGTTTATAAGGAAACTACAGCTCTCCAGTTCTGCCTCTCCTCTAAGCTATACTCCAGACTCCTTCTAATGATATCTAATAATAATTTATATTATAAGTGATGCTTTTACCAGGTTGTAGACTTTGTTCTGGGTGCCTGGCTTTGAAGTCACCACTGACTTTGAGATCATTAAATCCAGCAGATAGCCACGATTCCTGCGTCTTTTACTTGTCCTGCAGATTTTAACAGAGTTAGCAGTTTTTAACTCTTTTTCCCCTTTAAGTTCTTATCAGAGTAGCAAAAAGTAGCCATATTTGAATCTCTTCCGTTTTTCTTTTTTCTTTTTTTTTTTTTGAGACAGTCTCGCTCTGTCACCCAGGCTGGAGTGCGGCAGTATAGTCTCGGCTCACTGTAACCTCCACCTCCTGGGTTCAAGCTATTCTCCTGCCTCAGCCTTCTGACTAGCTAGGGCTTCAGGCATACACCACTATGCCCGGCTAATTTTTTGTGTTTTTATTAGAGGTGGGGTTTCACCATGTTGGCCAGGCTGGTCTCGAACTCCTGACCTCAAGCATTCCACCTGCCTCGGCCTCCCAAAGTGCTGGGATTACAGGCATGAGCCACTGCACCCGGCCTCTTCCCTTTTTCATTTATGCTGTCACCCCGCTCTGGAGATGCTATTAACTAAGGACTACTAGCCTGAGAAATAAAGTAGTGGGAATGACCTCTCAAAGCCAAATAATTAGCCTCTGAATGGGAAGGACCAGAGAACGAATACAATTTAAGTTACCTGATAAATTTAAAATCGAGAGAGATGGATTCTTTGCTCAGTTGGGATACAATTAATGTAACCTGTGTGAATTAGTTTAAAAAATTAGTTTTGTAGAGTTGGGGGGTTTCTTAAAATGGATCCATCTAATCTAGTTTTTCCATTATTTTTCAGAGGTTTCACTTTTAAAAAGAAAACATCTTCAGATAACAATGTATCTGTAACTAATGTGTCAGTAGCAAAAACACCTGTATTAAGAAATAAAGATGTTAATGTTACCGAAGACTTTTCCTTCAGTGAACCTCTACCCAACACCACAAATCAGCAAAGGGTCAAGGACTTCTTTAAAAATGCTCCAGCAGGACAGGAAACACAGAGAGGTGGATCAAAATCATTATTGCCAGATTTCTTGCAGACTCCGAAGGAAGTTGTATGCACTACCCAAAACACACCAACTGTAAAGAAATCCCGGGATACTGCTCTCAAGAAATTAGAATTTAGTTCTTCACCAGATTCTTTAAGTACCATCAATGATTGGGATGATATGGATGACTTTGATACTTCTGAGACTTCAAAATCATTTGTTACACCACCCCAAAGTCACTTTGTAAGAGTAAGCACTGCTCAGAAATCAAAAAAGGGTAAGAGAAACTTTTTTAAAGCACAGCTTTATACAACAAACACAGTAAAGACTGATTTGCCTCCACCCTCCTCTGAAAGCGAGCAAATAGATTTGACTGAGGAACAGAAGGATGACTCAGAATGGTTAAGCAGCGATGTGATTTGCATCGATGATGGCCCCATTGCTGAAGTGCATATAAATGAAGATGCTCAGGAAAGTGACTCTCTGAAAACTCATTTGGAAGATGAAAGAGGTAACAATTATTTTATCTTCATTTTAGTATGTTCATTGTACTTTTTTATTCAAAGCTAGCCATTGGGAATAGTCATGAATATATAGAGCTTTTGTCCTTAAGGTTGTTAGGGTCTTTAGTGGTGCTTTTTGAATAATCTGTTGGCCACATTTTTGAGGCAGGACGTACTGATGAAATGGAAGGTTTTAGTCTGCTAATATAGTTTCCAGGATAGCTCTGTGATTTTATACATGAAGAAAATACAGGAGTTTCCCCTTGTCCACAGCTTTGCATTCTCTGAGGTTTCAGTTACCCGCAGCCGGCTGAGGTCTGAAAATATTGCATCACTTCTCTTGCGCTTTGGGACCATTATTAAGAAAACACAAGCCCTGCAATACCGCGACAGTCAATCTGATAACTGAGACCACTACTAAGTGATTAACAGCAACCCAGGTGGACAGATCAGGTCGGGGCAAGATTTTATCACACTATACTCAAAACAGCTTGAAACTGAACACTTATGAATTAATTTATTTCTGGGATTTTCCATTTACATCACAATGCCTACATCATTCACCTCTCTTCATCTCATCATATAGGCATTTTTTATCATCTTATATCTTTACAAAGGAAGGGTGAGTAGAGTAAGATATTTTGAGCAAGGGAGACCACAGTCAAATAACTTTTATTGCAGAATATTGTTATAATTGTGCTATTTCATTAGTTGTTCACCTTTTGCTGTGCTTAATTAATAAATTAAACTCTATCATAGGTATGTATGTATAGGAAAACACATAGTACTTATCGGGTTTGATACTATCCGAGATTTCAGGCATCCACCGGGGTCTTGTCACATATTTCCTGAAGATAAGGGGGTTGCTGCCGTAAGATCCATAGAGGTTAAAATGGTGGTTAGTGGTAAATTGGAAAATGAAACTAAGCCTTTCTACTGTAATTCCTTTATGGCTTGTTGCCACCTAATATTGATGTATAATGTGCTCTAATTGCACTATTAAAGTATTATAAATTACATTCAAAGTTTTTCCTGGCTAGATCTTGTAATTATTTAATGTCCAAAATTGAGTAACTGAGATTACCCACATGGGGAAGTAACTCACCTTATGAAGCAGTTGCAAATATGAGAGTAAAATTTTTAAACCCCTGAATCCCATTAAGGTTACTCTAGGGTGAGAGAGCACTGAAAAGTGATTGACGATAAGCAAAACTATAGTCTCATCAATGATGCCTCTGTTTCTGAAGGGAAAATTTGTTAAAAGATAGACAGCAACAATTTGGGTTGTGTTTTCCCACATAGTCCAAAAGAGAGACTTAAATAACTGGGAAACTTTGTGTTAAAGATGATTTGTACAAGCAGCCGTGTTTGTGTTATTATCAGACTTATCTGTTGCACTTTACCCTTATTTAAATATGAGTGAAAAGTTAAAAACTAGAAACGTCAATAGCAAATACGTGTTTCGTAATTAACCAGAGACAGACATGAAAATCCCTAAGCAAATCTTCGGCCTCAGTCGAGCATTCACTGGACTTAATCCACTTGACTCAATAGTAATCATTTATGAATAAATAAGCCAGCATTAGCATGTAAAGGGAGAGGATCCATACAAAGTGGTGTGATTGTTTGTGACTTGCCAGAAGCACTCATTCTTAATCGCTCATGCCCTGTTCTTTCTGTCTCATTAGTGGTTAACAAATCTATGTTTATCAACTGTTTTACTGTAGATAATAGCGAAAAGAAGAAGAATTTGGAAGAAGCTGAATTACATTCAACTGAGAAAGTTCCATGTATTGAATTTGATGATGATGATTATGATACGGATTTTGTTCCACCTTCTCCAGAAGAAATTATTTCTGCTTCTTCTTCCTCTTCAAAATGCCTTAGGTAAACTAGCTAAATAATTAGCATTATTATTTGTTTCTGGGATACTTTAAATTGTTTAATTTAGTTTATAATATCATTTCTATATAAAAGTATTTTGTGCTTTCTACAATTATTTTACATTCAAGTGAAAGCCTCAAAAAAAAACCCTGTTTATACATTTAATTGGTTGCATTCTAAAGATGAAGTCCCATTATGATTAATTACATGAAACTTCAAACAATTTTAGGTAGCTGATTTTTTTTTTTTTTTGAGACAGTCTCGCTCTGTCACCCAGGCTGGAGTGAAGTGGTATGATCTTGGCTCACTGCAGCCTCCACCTCCCGGGTTCAAGTGATTCTTGTGCCTCAGCCTCCCAGGTAGCTGGAACTACAGGTGCACACCACCATGCCTGGCTAATTTTTTGTATTTTCAGTAGAGACGAGGTTTTGCCATGTTGCCCAGGCTAGTCTTGAACCCCTGAGCTCAGGCAATCCGCCCGCCTTGGCCTCCCAAAGTGCTAGGATTACAGGCATAAGCCACCTTGCCTGGCCTTATATAGTTGATTTTGACATAAGGAATATATTTCTAAAAATATTATATTTCCAAACCTGACCTGAAATGACACAAAGCTAACCCATTATATGGGAAGTGAATTAGGACATTAGTACTTTTTAAAAAAATCCTACAGGATAGAATTGGCCATTGTATTTGTTATTCACTCAATTTTAGCAAATTGGTGACATGATTATTGTTAATTGGTAGTATTACGAGAAAAATAGATACTCCACACGACTCATCAACAGCTTAAATTGCTAAGTGTCAATGTTACCTTCGTCCTCATCCCAGTCTCACTCTCAGACCAGTTGAGTGGTAGAGTATAGTATATACTAAACTGAGCAAAAGTTTATATAGAGTCTCAATTCTAAACCAGCATTCTCATTTACCAGGTGAAAC
Organism: Homo sapiens; assembly: GCF_000001405.40. Taxonomy (NCBI): domain Eukaryota; kingdom Metazoa; phylum Chordata; class Mammalia; order Primates; family Hominidae; genus Homo; species Homo sapiens. Next base: position 90,752,880 of record NC_000015.10, read on the forward strand.
AGCTGAGGCCCAGGGAGGAGCAAGGAATTGCCCAGGTTGATACAATGAATGACAAATGGACTCAGATCCAGTGTAGTGCCTTCCCTGGTGTCATACTGATTCCTTGTTGAATGCCTGGCTTTTTTCTTTACTCATTAAAAATGTGTGTTACGCAAATAATATAATCATTTTAACAAGGATTCTAAATAAGAAGGAAGGAGCACTGCTGGGTGCGGTGGCATGGTAGTGGCCTGTAGTCCCATCTACTCAGGAGGCTGAGGCAGGAGGATCCCTTAAGCCCAGGAGTTCAAGGCTGTAGTATGCTGTGATTATGCCTGTGAGTAACCATTGCACTCCAGCCTGGGCAACATAGCGAGACCCTCATCTCTAAAAAATTAAAAAGAGAGAGAGAAGGAATACTAGTAGTCCCACAATTCTGACTGTTTTCTTTATCCATCTTCAGTTTTGATACATGTGTGTTTGATTTCTGCATTGTTGTAATCAACATGTAATTATAATTTTATATTCTACTTTATTTCTCTTAGCATTATTTCTAAATCATTTTCCAATTGCTACATATTTAATTCCTTTTAATGGCTACATAATTTATCAAATTGTCATATCATAAATAAATTTACCTAGAGTCTTAGCAATTAAAAAAGCTTGTTTTACAAAGTATTTCCAAGGTAGACTCTCTTTGTACATTTCCCATTGTAACTTAGTATACATATGTGTATATATTATAAAACTGAAATAGAATTTTCACAATATTTTTTGTGCAATGCACAGCTTAAATTCTATGCTACATTTTATTTCAGTTTTAAAAAATACTGGTTGTAACCTCTGAATTTCAGAAGTCAAGTGGTCAGACAGTATATAACAGAGAAGAGAGACCTGTTTTTCAAACTCCTCTTTTCCAAAACCTCTGTAGCTGGCCCTCAAGATTCTCCATCTTCTGGCCACAATTTACCTTTTTCAGCTTTATCTCCACTTATGCCCTTGCAATAACCCAGTGGTTTTAATGAGTCAAACCAACAATCTAGAAAGCATATCATTTTCTTTAATTATAATGTTATTGTTTAAAAAATAATATTAAAAAGTTACACTGTTTTGATTTAGTTAGAAAGTTGCATTCCAAAATTATTCTTTAGGAAAATACAGTTGATTCCCAGATGTCAAGCAAATAGAAATGTCCTTTTTAAAATCTTTCTTTCATAGTCTGACACTTTCCCCATACTTGTCATTCAGTTTGCTTAAATCTTATCTCCTTGGCAAAGCCTTCTAAAGTTCCAAAAAATGTTACCTTTCTTTGGATTTCCACAGTATCCTCTCTTTAACACTCATTCAGTACTAATTTATTTTGTTATTTGTAAAGTATTTTTTCTATGTAATCAGACTGACCAGGTTTATATGTTAATATGTTTTTGTATAATCTGTGTGGTGAGGTAATTATATATGCAGACACACAAAAACACATGTACATATATTTGCATAATAAGAGAAGTCCAGAAAAAGTGCTTTGAAATCTCAGAAAAAAGAGACATTAATAATCACTTGCTGGAGAAGTAATGCTTTGGCTGGGGCTAGAAGAACAGGTGTGATTTGGGTACGAAGAGATTGGAATGGCAGGTTTTCCAAATTGAGAGGATCAGTGGCAAAATCCCCAAAATAGGCAATGCAGGGCTTATATGAAGAATGTAAGTGGTACAGTATGACTGAAGATTTGTGTTACTGAAAGGACATAATCGGAGATAATGTTGAAAAGGGCTCTTTCTGGACAACTTTGAGGACCAGCTAAAGAAGTTTTATAATTGAGGAAATTTAAAAAACTACTTCTCTTTTCTGTTATATATTGTCTGATCAGTGGTAGAAAAATATTAAGGGTTTCAAAATTATACATTTATTGAGTCTAGCCTATAGTATGATTGGCTTAACATTTTTTTTATTTGCAGTACGTTAAAGGACCTTGACACCTCTGACAGAAAAGAGGATGTTCTTAGCACATCAAAAGATCTTTTGTCAAAACCTGAGAAAATGAGTATGCAGGAGCTGAATCCAGAAACCAGCACAGACTGTGACGGTACAAGCAATATTTTAGACATACCATGTATTTCAACTACTTACTTTTGAAAACAACGTAACACAAAGATTGTGTTTTGAACCTGTGGCTGTATGTTATAAAATGGCAGATTTGTAGTTTCTTTTCTTCTAATGTCATAACCTTGTTTACTGGTTAGCCAGCATTTGCCTGAACAACTCATGAACTCATGCTCTCACAAGGGCGTTCATTCCCCATTTTGAAAATGCTACTTGTTAGAAATCATCTCTCATACTGAGCCAAGATCTGCAACTTTAATTCTAGGAGGTTTTTAAATTTTTATTTACAAATGAGAACTTCCACAAAATCCTGTGTTTCAGAAACACGGACCACAGAGCGTAATCTCATCATAATAGAGTTTCCCTCCCCCTCCTTGACTAAATATTATTAGGTCTTTTAACTCTCCTTGCTAGAAATTGCTTTCTTGACCTTTCATCCTCCGGTTCTCCCTTGTATATACTCTGAGTCTAGGTCTGGGTCTTGATGTTCATTTAAAGCTAAATACTTGTTTGCTTGTTTTGTTTCTAATTCATTTTTTATTTTTTATTAAATATCTAGTGTAAATAATCAGATAGCAGTGCAAGACTTTGATAAACGACAGTCCCCCTTCCCACTCTTGGTGTCTGCTGCTCAGAGGCACCTTCAGTCTGAAAATATACATCCTCTTGTAGACATTTTTCTGGCATTATTTCTTTTTACCTTCTTTTTCTCTTTTTCACTCTTCCTGGAACTTCTATGATTTGCATGTTAGACTTCCATTAATTATCTTTTCTATTTTTCATCTCTTGATTTTCTACTTTTTAGGATATTTCCTTGATTTTATCTTTAACTCTTCTGTGGAATTTTTAAATTTCTATCAAGGCAATTTCCGAGAGCTCTTCTTTGTTCTCTGGATATCTCTGTCGTGCATTCGAGTCTGAGGGCTGCTGGGCTTTTTTAGCGACGTCTGCATGCATGTGCGGGTCATGTGTGTAGTGTTCTCTGTGTGTTGTTTTTGTTTCCTCCAGTTTTTTTGTGGTTTATTTTGGACTCAATTTATTTTAGAGATATTCAGGAGGTGACTGATGTGCTGGGCGCTCTTATAAAGTGCCTTACAATATTAACTAATTCAGTCATCACCATAAACTACCTCAAACTTTAAGGTAGTTTCCTTTTTTTTTTTTTTGAGACGGAGTCTCGCTCTGTCACCCAGGCTGGAGTGCAGTGGCACAACCTCAGCTCACTGCAGCCTCCGCCTTCCAGGATCAAGTGATTCTCCTGCCTCAGCCTCCTGATTAGCTGGGATTACAGGTGTGTACCACCATATCTGGCTAATTTTTTGTATTTCTAATAGAGACAGGGTTTCACCATTTTAGCCAGGATGGTCTTGATCTCCTGACCTTGTGATCCGCCCACCTCGGCCCCCCAAAGTGCTGGGATTACAGGCGTGAGCCACCGCGCCTGGCCCACTTTAAGGTAGTTTCTGTTATCCCCATTTAACAGATAATGAAACTAAGGTACAGGAGCGTTAAATAGTTACACACCGTCATAGAATTAGCCTCAGAGCTAGGATCTGAACACAGCAGTCTTGAGGCTTTTGAGTTTTCATTGATAACAACTGCATTATACTGTCTCTGTATCATTAAGTTTCACTAATAAAATGGTTAGCTAGAACAGGGGCAAGGACAGAGTTCTACAGCATGTCAATAGAGGCTTCCCTCTTGGCTTACAACAGTCCATTCATCACCACTTCTTGTTCAGCTAGTTACATATCTGTCTTCAGACCATGTTTCTGTTCTTTATCCATGGAGACACAAAAGACTTGACTATGTGACTCCAAAAAGTTAGAGGTGTGAGGCAGCAAGAAGGAATGGGTGGGACATTGACTCTAGAGTCCTACAGACCTGTAATAGAAACCTGTCTCCTCCTACTCTTGACTATGTGACTATGGCAAATAGTTAAACTTCTCTGGACTTCAGTTTTTTCTTCTATAAAATGAGGAGAATGATATCTACCTTGCTGGGTAGTTGTCAGGATTCAAGATAAAGTGCCTAGTACACTGCAGGCCTTTCATAAATGATAACTATTGTTATCTGCCAGTCTAGTAATCCTTTTAAAAAAGGAAATACATTAAGACGGATGGTTTGTTTTTATGAACTTTTGCTAACTCTATTATTGTTTCCTCCCCCTTAGAGCTCACAAAGCAGCTATTTGATAACAGGCTCTAGAATTTTGCTTTGAATTTACATCAAATCACCAGCCTGTAGTTTTTGGCAATCACTTTCAAATTTTTTGAAAATTAGAACAATGTTTGTCTGTCCTCACTTTCCATCAGTTCTCTTATTCACTAGATGCCTCACACACGTGTCAGTGACAGGGGCTCTGAGATCCTGTTTGCAGGTTTCCTTTGTACTCTGAGGTATAATCTGTCTAGACAAGGAGTCTTGGGCTAGTCTCTGATAGCTAGGTACCCCCTTTTATCTCCCTCTGAGCCTGTCTTGGCTTTCAGTTCCATCCGACCATTGTGTATTCTCTTTCCAATCTGATGCTTGTTTTCCTTGCAGAGAAAACAGAAGTAAGATAGGAATTCAGCAATTCCATTTTACATCTCATACCTCACATTTCTCTCAGTCACCAGAAGTCCAAATTTCCCAGGCCATTCTTGTGCAGATGCCCCTCCTCACCCTGCCATCTTCACTCCCTGTTCTGTCCTCACTTCCTGTCCTTCCTGGCTTGTAAACCATTTAACTGACTGCTCTGTCAGCAATGTCCCTGTAGCCTCATCCGCTTCTCTGATCATTTTCTTCCCCTTCTTTCTCTAATTGTTTTCTGAGGATATGTACTGTTTCCCCTGCAGCCCACCTAAACTGTTTTTTACTCTCACAGACTTTAGGCCTGAGAGGTGGCAAAGGCATCTGTTGTCCTTGCTTCCTATTGCCATTTTTTTTCCTTTTTTTCATCTTTTTTTTTTTTTCTCGCTCTGTCACCCAGGCTAAAGTGCACTGGCGCAATCTCTGCTCACTGCAACCTCTGCCTCCCAGGTTCAAGTGATTCTCCTGCCTCAGCCTCCTGAGTAGCTGGGACTACAGGCATGCACCACTATGCCCAGCTTTTTTGTATTTTTATTAGAGACAGGGTTTCGCCACGTTGACCAGGCTGGTGTCAAACTCCTGATCTCAGGTGATCCTCCAGCCTCAGCCTTCCAAAGTGCTGGGATTACAGGCGTGAGCCACCATACCCAGGCGCAGCTGAGGTTTTAGATGAAGGAAAGGGCTGGCACGGTGGCTCACGCCTGTAATCCCAGCACTTTGGGAGACCGAGGTGAGTGGATCATTTGAGGTTTAGGAGTTCGAGTCCAGCCTGCCCAATGTGGCAAATCCCCATCTCTAATAAAAATACAAAAAAGCCGAGCGTGGTAGCGTGTGCTTGTAGTCCCAGGCACTCAGGAGGCTGAGGCAGGAGAATCACTTGAACCGGGGAAACGGAGGTTGCAGTAAGCCGACATTGCACCACTGCACTCCAGCCTGGAAGACAGAGCAAGAATCTGTCTCAAAAAATAAAATAAAATAAAACCTCTACTGCTTTGAAATTCTATTTATTAGTTATGGCTTAATTTTTAAAATGGGAGTGGGCTGGCAGGATTCAGTTGTTCAAACATCATATCAGGAGTTGCTCTGTCTCTCACTTCCCTTCTCTCTCCTCTCTTCTGTCCCATCTCTCCGGGTCAAACCTCCATTTCTTTCTATGTGCTTTCTACTTTTCCTTTGTATCAATCTTATTTGAAATCTGTCTTTCTTTATAAGGTGACAGAAATGGCCACCAGAATCATATTAAGCTTGGAAAAAGGGAGGTACTTTTTCCCAGTCAGCCCTAAGTATTTCCAGAGTTAATTTTCACTGGGCTGCCTTGTGTCAGATGCCTACTGAGGGAGTGGGAAGGGTAGGTCTAATAGGAAATCTTGGTAACAGTATATGTTACCATTAAAGGGAAGCCTGGATTCCAGGCAGATCAAAACAACAGGTAGGGCTCTTGCCTGTCCAACGCTTAACAATACACTTTGTGTTGGCACAGTGAGCTTTGCACATGAAGTTAGTTAAAAATAAAATCATAGTTAACTGATAAACCTTTGTTCCAGCCAATGACCTTGCTTACCCCAAGAAATATTATTTATTAAATATTATGAAATTAAATGAAAACAGTTATGAGCTCTTATGATAAAGCGTAGAGACAACCCAATTTCAAGTTAATTCACAGGAAGATAATAGGACAATATATGGTTGTTTATGATCTTGTTTTTACACTGCTTCATATTTTACATATGTGACTTTCAAAATCTTAAGACTTGACTGGGCACAGTGGCTCACACCTGTAATCCTAGCACTTTAGGAGGCCAAGGCGGGAGGATCACTTGAGCCCAGGAGTTTGAGACCAGCCTGGGCAACATGGCAAGACCCTGTCTCTACAAAAAATAATTAATTAAAAAAAAAAAAAAGAAGAAGATGTGTTGTGTTGCTGGGCACAGTGGCATAGGCCTGTAGTCTCACCTACTTGGGGAGGCTGAGGCAGGAGGATCTCTTGAGCCCAAGAGTTTGAGGGTTCAGTGAGCAGTGATTGCACCACTGCAGTTTAACCTGGGCAACAGAGCCAGACCCCCTTTCTTTCTTTCTTTCTTTCTTTCTTTTTTTTGTGAGACAAAGTCTCACTTTTGTCCCCCAGGCTGGAGTGCAATGGCACGATCTCAGCTCACTGCAACCTCCACCTCCCAGGTTCAAGCGATTCTCCTGCCTCAGCCTCCCGAGTAGCTGGGATTACAGACACGCACCACCATGCCCGGCTAATTTTTATATTATTAGTAAAGACGGGGTTTCACCACATTGGCCAGGCTGGTCTCGAACTCCTGACCTCAGGTGATCTACCCTTCTTGGCCTCCCAAAGTGTTGGGATTACAGGCGTGAGCCACCGTGCCCAGCCCCACTTTAAAAAAAAAAAAAAAAAAGAAAAAGAAATCAAGATCTTAAGACTTTTTTTTTTTTTTTTAGTGACAGGGTCTCACTGTGTTGCCCAGGCTGGTCTTGAACTCCTGGACTTAAGCAATCCTCCTGCCTTGGCCTCCCCAAAGGGCTGGGATTACAGTCATGAGCCACCATGCCTAGCCAAGACTTTTTTTTTTTTCCCTCAAAGAAAAATATTAACAACATAATTATTTTATAGCTAGACAGATAAGTTTACAGCAGCAGCTTATTCATGTGATGGAGCACATCTGTAAATTAATTGATACTATTCCTGATGATAAACTGAAACTTTTGGATTGTGGGAACGAACTGCTTCAGCAGCGGAACATAAGGTATCTTAATTTTCCCCCTTCTGGAATATATCTGATTATATTTCTACCACTCTAAGTGAAAAATGGACAGGGCAAAATGTTCAGGCTTTCTGGCCTGGAAATGGCATAAGGATGATCATCATGCCACTATGTTTTTGATTTGTTTACTTTTCAAACCACTCCTTTAACATTCGTATTCATGTTTTTAAGATTGGGAAAAAAGCGAATATATTTTGCTACAATTTCTATTTGGTATGAAAACTACAGATTTGCTTTTGTGGCCTACCAGAGTAAACTACTTATATTTAATACGTTGTTCTCTTTTCTCTCTTCAGAAGGAAACTTCTAACGGAAGTAGATTTTAATAAAAGTGATGCCAGTCTTCTTGGCTCATTGTGGAGATACAGGCCTGATTCACTTGATGGCCCTATGGAGGGTGATTCCTGCCCTACAGGGAATTCTATGAAGGAGTTAAATTTTTCACACCTTCCCTCAAATTCTGTTTCTCCTGGGGACTGTTTACTGACTACCACCCTAGGAAAGACAGGATTCTCTGCCACCAGGAAGAATCTTTTTGAAAGGCCTTTATTCAATACCCATTTACAGAAGTCCTTTGTAAGTAGCAACTGGGCTGAAACACCAAGACTAGGAAAAAAAAATGAAAGCTCTTATTTCCCAGGAAATGTTCTCACAAGCACTGCTGTGAAAGATCAGAATAAACATACTGCTTCAATAAATGACTTAGAAAGAGAAACCCAACCTTCCTATGATATTGATAATTTTGACATAGATGACTTTGATGATGATGATGACTGGGAAGACATAATGCATAATTTAGCAGCCAGCAAATCTTCCACAGCTGCCTATCAACCCATCAAGGAAGGTCGGCCAATTAAATCAGTATCAGAAAGACTTTCCTCAGCCAAGACAGACTGTCTTCCAGTGTCATCTACTGCTCAAAATATAAACTTCTCAGAGTCAATTCAGAATTATACTGGTAAGTTTAAAATAAATTGAATGCTTATATGAAAACAAAACTGTCCCAAAATAGGAATTATATAAGAAAAACCATAGCAAATCATCATTGCCTGAAAACATTGTTGCTATGCAAATTTCTACTGATGATATGAATTACAAATCACAATTTCAAAAGCAAGTTGCTCTTTTGTCTCTATAGCAGCTGTAGTTTTATAAAATGTGTAATTATAACCTATTGTAGTACGGCTCTAAAGTCATTACAAATGTGATGTGCCTTTGAATTAACATTTTTTAGTTCCTAAAACAAACTCATGAGGGCCAAGTTTTTAATGATTTTGGGATGGGCAAAAGCAAAAATGGATTCGCATGCTAAAAATGTATTTTAGAATTCTGTACTGATGAGAATCGATTAATACAAAGTAGAGAAGCATGTTTTATGTGTTAAAATGTTAAAATATAGGGTAGTCTATAAAGGATATGAAGTCAGGAGTGTCTTAAATCAGTCAAACTACTTCTTTGGGTCTAAGGGCTCACTGCATGCCATGTGCTATGTTGGGCGCCGATCATTTAAAGATGAATAACAAATACTAAGTAGTTCCTGCCCTCCTGGAGCTCACAGCTTAGTGAGAGAGAAGTTTTGAGAGGAATGAAATTAGCCACTGAAGGCTCCAGAGAAAAGCCAAAAATAATTTTAAAACCTTACATCAACCCTATAAAGTTATCAAAAGTATTTTTTAGCTGAAATAAGTTTATAAAGTACAGCCCTCCCTATTTTTGCCATTGATGACTTAATACCACGGAGGTTTTTCTTACAGTTACGCTGCTGACCTTTAAAACAACGATTAATGGATTTATTTTTGTATCATGTTAGAATGTGTCATACTTGATGTTTGCAATTATCTTGAGACAGTTGAGTGTTGGGGTTAGCGTAACTGCCAGAGCTCCGTGAGTACCTCTTGTTCTCTGTGCTGAACCAGAGTTGCGACAGCCAGGCTGCAGAGCAGGGGCACGTGTGAGAGATGTTATGAAAGAAGAGCCTGAGGAAGCTCAGATGACTCCAAGGTTTCAGACACTGATGACTGGGAAAACTGTGACACCAGTAACACAAACAGGGGAGTCAGGAGGCGGAGTCAGATTTGGAGAAAAGCTGAGAAGGGCTAGTTTAAGTCTAGAGGTTAAAGTGCTGGTAAGTCATTCAGGTACCAATGTCTTGCAGACAACGGGAGCTGTGTGCAGGACTGGAACTTAGGAGGGTGTCAGTTGGGTCTTAAGAGAGGTGTAGGCATTTGCTGCACACGGGTCATGTTTAAGATCATAGGACTAGGAAAGCTCCAAAAAAGAATGTCTACAGAGCCCAGTCCCAAATATCTGAAAGACTCCCTCCCCTATTTATGGGGCAGATGGAGGTAGTAGAGCCAGGAAAGGGAATTTAAAATGAGTAGAAAACCATGATTGTCTTGGTGGTCATGGTTGGAGGAAGGGAGAAGAGGAAGGAAAGAATAAAAGTAGTGGTAGGTGCTGTAGAAAAAGTCAAGGAAATACTTGATTTGGGACTTTGGCAAGTTTTTGGTGGCTTTGAGACTTGTAGGGAAGGAAAGCCAGTAAAGAGTTTAAGAACTGTGCTGCAGGGAAACGTGTGCCAGTGATTCTGCAGGGCAAGGGAAATGCTAAAGCTGTACTTTCACTGTATTCATGTACTGATTTTTCTTAACGTTGATTATTTTCCTAGACAAGTCAGCACAAAATTTAGCATCCAGAAATCTGAAACATGAGCGTTTCCAAAGTCTTAGTTTTCCTCATACAAAGGAAATGATGAAGATTTTTCATAAAAAATTTGGCCTGCATAATTTTAGAACTAATCAGCTAGAGGCGATCAATGCTGCACTGCTTGGTGAAGACTGTTTTATCCTGATGCCGACTGGTATGTATTTTTAGAAGTGAATTGGCAGGAATCCATTGGCAGATGTTAAATGAAAGCTCTTTAATAGAAATAAAAAGACCACCTACACAGTATTTCTATCATTTAGGGACCTCTTAAACCTCCTGTACCATAGTGAGAAAGCATATTACTTTATATCCTTTGTTCTGGTTGTTGACATCATGAAGTTTATAGCCCTGTAAGATTTTCAACTCGAAGCTCATTGTGTTGAACTGATCTAGAATTTTTCTTTGGGAATTTTTCTTTTTTCTAGTCTAAGCAGTTTTGGAAATCAAACAGAAAAATCGCTGTCAGAGACCATGACCATTTCTGGCAGTTTATTTGCAACAATCTGGTGTTGCATAGTGGTTAAATCATATATGCATATATGCATAGTGGTCCATCAGCTATGGACCAAAGGCCTGGACTTAAAGAACAGCTCTGCTGCTCACAGCAGTGTGGCCACATGCAAGGCACTTTACTCCCTGGGCCCATTTTCTCATGTGTGCAATGGTGATAGCAGTAAAGTACCTGGTTCACAGAGTGGCATGAGGATTAAATGAAAATCATTTAGCACGATATTGTGTTGGCCCCACTTTAAAGAGTCTAGGACATTCATTGTGCTGTTAAAGCTTATGACAGCTGTTCAATGATTTATAGTCATTCACATGAGAATATTAAATCAACAGGGCAGAGCGCAAGGAGAATTTGCAGTTTCAGTACCTATGTGTAGTCCTCCCTCTGTCTATCACCTGACTTGTGACCTTTAGCAAGTTAGCTAGTGCTGTCATTATTGTATAATGTTGACTGGGCATCTGAACTTTTTCATCCTGGTTTTTAGATTTAGATAGCCTTGGCTTAATAATCAGCATTTCAATTTTTATTAATTTATTAATCACTCTGTGCCTTCCTTTCAACCCTATTTTGGTGTTTCAGAACTCTAACGCTGGAAAAAACCTTGGCAATGATCTAATCCATTGATTTTTTTTTTCCAGGGCTTCCCATTGTCCTTTAGGGTTTCAAGACGGCATTTTTAAGGTCCTTCCACCCCAATTTCAACCACTTGTGAGAGAGAGATATATATAATATATAATTATATATAATATGTATATTGTATTGTATATAATATGTCTATTATATATAATTATAATATATAGTGTGTGTGTAAATATTCCAAATAAGGTTTATTTTATTTTTATTTCTTATTATTTTTGAGACAGGGTCTCTTGATCTGTCACCCATGCTGGAATACAGTGGTGCTATCACAGCTCACTGCAGCTTCAACTGGGTTCAAACAATCCCCCCCACCTTAGCCTCCCAAGAAGCTGGGGCTACAGGCATGTGCCACCACACCTGGCTAATTTTTAAATTTTTTGTAGAGATGGGATCTCACTGTGTTGCCCAAGTTGATCTCAAATTCCCTGGGCTCAAGCAGTCCACCTGCCTCAGGCTCCCAAAGTGATGGGATTTATAAATAATAAAAGTAAATAAACATTATATAGAAAGTAATTATTTTAATCCTAGTGTCATTTTTAGAGACTCTTCTACTACTAGAAATAAAAACTTTACTGTATTCCACTACATTTTAAGTTTCCTGCCCTAATTCTTGCCTTTGCTATTATATATGTCTATATAAGATGTCCTAGGCCGGGCGCAGTGGCTTGTGCCTATAATCCCAGCACTTTGGGAGGCTGAGGCAGGTGGATTACCTGAGGTCAGGAGTTCAAGACCAGCCTGGCCAATGTCTCTACTAAAAATACAAAAATTAGCAGGATGTGGTGGTGCATGCCTATAGTCCTAGCTACTGGGGAGGGTAAGGCATGACAATTGCTTGAACCTGGGAGGTGGAGATTGTAGTGAGCTCAGATGGCACCACTGCACTCCAGCCTGGGCAACAGAATGAGACTCTGTCTCAAAGACAAAAACAAAAACAAAAAAAACACTTTTTTTTTAAAGATCATTTTTACACATTATTTAAATTGCCTAAATATAATAGTTTGAGTCATTTGAGTATGGCAAATTGTTGGCACCAGGGACAATATGCCTTGGTGTCCTATTAATGATATGATTTCTTTTGTAACTTTTACATTCATGCTCTGAAGACAGAACCTGACAGATATTTTTTCATTGTTCTCTTTCAGGAGGTGGTAAGAGTTTGTGTTACCAGCTCCCTGCCTGTGTTTCTCCTGGGGTCACTGTTGTCATTTCTCCCTTGAGATCACTTATCGTAGATCAAGTCCAAAAGCTGACTTCCTTGGATGTAAGTTATAAAAATACTAATAAAAACACGCCTTAGAAACAATTAAATTTCAGTCCTCTGGATAACCTTTTTATTAAATAGTTCGTGATTTGTAAAAAATAAAGCACAGCAGTTAAATTTGCAGTTGAACAGAAGTCTGAAAATTTGATACAGATAACCTCTAGTTCAATCTGTTTTTATTCTACAAGAATGTATCTTAGTAAGAACTTTTAACCAATGCTATTTTTTGCTGATGTAAATTTTTTTAACGAATAGAAAATCATTTCTTTTTTCAGTACTGCCAGGTCGGCATAGTTCTCTTTCCCTTATATCTTAAAGTGCATACACACATGCATGCCTGCACACATATATCTTTTTTTCTCATGGCTGAGTTTAAGGAAGTAAATGAATGCATTCTACTTAACTCTTCACAATGTAGTTGGGGGTGGTGGCTCATGCCTGTAATCCCAGTGACTTGGAAGGCAAAGGTGGGAGGATTGCTTGAGGCCAAGAATTCAAGACCAGCCTGGGCAACACAGCAAGACTTTCTCTACAGAAAAATAAAATAAGCTGGACATGGTGGTGAAAACCTGTGGTCCCAGCTGCTTAGGAAGCTGAGGGAAGAGGGTCGCTAGAGCCCAGGAGTTTGAGGCTGCAGTGGGTCATGATCATGCCACTACAATCTAGCCTTGGTGAAAGCGAGACCCCGACTCAATCACATTGTGATTAAAAAGAACTGTTTTAAGAGTTATGAGTCACCACCCCTCAATAAGACCACTAGTTTGGTTTTCTTCCAAAGAATGTCTTAGTGCAGTGGTGGTAGCCATTGTTCAACCATTTGTCATATTATGGCCCCTTCATTGTCATTAATCTTTAAAACCCTGAAATACATTTATCTAAAAAAAAGATGCCATACAGTAGGACTGGAATATCTTGTATACCAAATTCATATTTATCTTATTTACAAAGATGAAAAATAAAGCAAGAAAAGGAAATAAATAATGAGAAGACCATTTTGTGTTATGCTTTTTTTTGTTTTGTTTTGTTTTGTTTTAAGACAGTCTTGTTCTGTTGCCCAGGCTGGAGTGCGGTGGTGCAACCTTGGCTCACTGCAACCTCTGCCTCCCAAGCTCCAGCAATTTTCCTGCCTTAGCCTCCTGAGTAGCTGGAATTACAGGCACCTGCCACCACGCCAGGCTAATTTTTGTATTTTCAGTAGAGATGGGGTTTCTCCGTGTTGGCCATGCTAGTCTTGAACTCCTGACCCCAAGTGATCCACCTGCCTCAGCCTCCCAAAATGCTGAAATTACAGGCGTGAGCCACCACGCCCTGCCTGAGTTATGCTTAATAAGGGTTTTTTAAAATGTATGTACTTACATACTTGTTATGTTGAGATATGTATTTCCTTTGATAGGTTTGATATGTGACTAATAAAATATTTATAAAACCTAAGGACAAATGTAATTTTGTCAGGTTAATGTATAAAATTGAAATTGTTTACTACTTTTATACTTAGATTCCAGCTACATATCTGACAGGTGATAAGACTGACTCAGAAGCTACAAATATTTACCTCCAGTTATCAAAAAAAGACCCAATCATAAAACTTCTATATGTCACTCCAGAAAAGGTTTGTATTTATATCATTATTTTAAAATATATTAAAGACCACTAGAATACATATATTTTTAAGATTTTAACAAAATTTTGTATACGTAGTGCAAAGAATTTTTGTACAACTTTCATCCAGAAACCCCAAATGGTAACATTTTACTATAATTGCTTTGTATTCTCTCTCTGCATATATTTTCCTGACACATTTGATTGAAAATTGCAGACATGGTATCCTTTTAAGCCCTAAGTACTTCACTGTACATTTCCTAAAAACAACGTATTCTCTCATATAACCTCAGTACAATGATCAAAATTAGGAGATGTACATTGATGCAGTACTATTACTTAATCTGTAAACCTTATTCTGGTTTCACTAGTTGTCCCAATAATGTCCTTTATAGCAAAAGAAAATCCCAGATCATGCATGCATTCCGTTGTGCTTCTCTGTAATCTTGTAAACAGTTTCTCTCTCTTAATATCTTTCGTGATTTTGAAGTTTTTGAAGGCCAGTCGTTTTCGGAATTGTCCCTCAATTTGAGTTTATCTTGCTTCCTCCTGCTTAGATTCCTGTTACTCCTTGAATATCACAGAAACAGTGATATGTTCTCATGCCCACTGTCAGGAGGCACTTGATGTCGATTCGTCCCATTACTGACAATGTTAGTTAACTGATCGCTTGGTTATGGTAGTGTCTGATAGACTTCTCCGCTGTAAAGTTACTCATTTCTTTTTGGCCTTTGTAATTAGTAGATATCCTGTTGTGGGATGCTTTGAGACTACGTAAATACCCTGCTAGTGATCAGAATTTTACCCACAAGTTTTAGTATCCATTGATGATTCTTCCCCAAATCAGTTATTACTATGATAGATATAAAATTATTTTTTAAATGTAGTTGGTGTTTTGCCATAAGGAAGAGTTTTCCTGTTGGTTACACTTTTTTTTTCTTTTTTTTTTTTTGAGGTAGAGTCTCACTCTGTCACCCAGGTGGGAGTGCTCGGCTCACTGCAATCTCGGCTCACTGCAACCTGGGTTCAAGTGATTCTCCTGCCTCAGCCTCCCAAGTAGCTAGGAATACAGGTGTGTGCCATGATACCTGGCTAATTTTTGTATTTTTAGTAGAGATGGGGTTTCACCATCTTGGCCAGGCTGGTCTCAAACTCCTGACCTCAGGCGATCTGCCCACCTCGGCCTCCCAAAGTGCTGGGATTACAAGCGTGAGCCACTGTGCCCAGCCCACATATTTATTGATACTAGCATGAACTCGACTTCTTAATTTATTCAATGAGTTACATTCAATTATCAAGTATTTTGATGTTCTAATTGTCCTACATGTGACCAGTGAGACATCTCTCTCAAGCTGGCTTCTCTGTCCTTTTGACATGTCCCGGTCAAGATGTGAGTGCTACATGTGCTCGTTGCTACTGAGATGTCATTGCTTCTAGGCCCTGTTATGAAGAGAGCTATAAAATATATAATTTTTCCCCCAGCCAACACGCATCCATATAACCCAGATATGTAACCCTGTTGCCAATGTAAATGTATGGTGGCCCTCAGATGTCTTGAAGCAGACAAAAGTTTGAGAACCACTAACCTGCTAAATAAGCTGTTTGCTTAATGTTGGTGAACATTCTAAAATTTGATCTGCTATTTTCTATTACTTCTGCTGTTCTCTTCATAGATTGAAATAAGAACCAATTTTATATGGAGGTGTTTTTGTTTTTGTTTTTGTTTTTTCGAGACCGAGTTTCGGTATTGTTACCAGGCTGGAGTGCAGTGGCACGATCTTGGCTCACTGCAACCTCCACCTCCCGAGTTCAAGCGATTCTCCTGCCTCAGCCTTCCTGAGTAGCTGGGATTACAGGCATGCACCACCACGCCCGGCTAATTTTGTATTTTTAGTAAAGGTGGGGTTTCACCATGTTGGTTAGGCTGGTCACAAACTCCCGACCTCGGATGATCCACCCACCTCGGCTTCCCAAAGTGCTGGGATTACAGGCGTGAGCCACCGCACCCGGCCTTATAGAGGTTTTAATACAGCTTAAGTTGTGATGGAATTTGAAGACCACAGAATCATGAGGTGATGTGTTTCAGTGTTTTTACATGTCTAATGTATTTCTGGCCTAGATCTGTGCAAGTAACAGACTCATTTCTACTCTGGAGAATCTCTATGAGAGGAAGCTCTTGGCACGTTTTGTTATTGATGAAGCACATTGTGTCAGTCAGGTAAATACTGTTTTTTATATCCGGAAATACCGATAAATACATACTACCAACAATATATGTATTTACTGAATAAAAACCCACACTGAGTGAACGAGTCTCCTATTTTACTGAAGAATAAGGTAGTTCTTAATACATTGAGCAGTGTTGGCTTTTTATAGAAGGAAGCTCCAAGTAGTCTGAAAAGCAGTATTTTTTTTTCCAACTAGTGGGGACATGATTTTCGTCAAGATTACAAAAGAATGAATATGCTTCGCCAGAAGTTTCCTTCTGTTCCGGTGATGGCTCTTACGGCCACAGCTAATCCCAGGGTACAGAAGGACATCCTGACTCAGCTGAAGATTCTCAGACCTCAGGTGTAAGTTGTTGCACGTCACGTATTTGAGAACCCTGGGGCAGTGACTGCCAGAGCTGCTACATGTTAGAATCACCTGTGGCGCTTTAACGCCACCACCCCACCCCCACCCCACCCCCATGCCCAAGTTGTAACCCGATGGCAGCTAAATCAGAACGTTTGGGGCTGAGAGCCAGTATTTTTTTAAAAATCCCCAAGTGATTACAATGTGCAGCAGAGTTTGGGAACCAGAGTCCTAGGGCTTTTCTTCACTTACTGAAATTAAAACTCCTTTTCAGTACCTACTTTAGAAGTAGGGATAAATTGCATGCCATATCTATCATCCCTGGTATAGTCCCAGTAATAAATTAATTTTTACTTATCTAATTTTGGCTTCCATATATCCTAGAGTATACTTCTTGAAATGAAAGATGACCCTGCTTTGTCATTTCCCCCTAAGGTCCCAGTTGAATCCAGGATGTTGAAAATAGTCCAGATACTATGTCGAATAGCTTTTTTACTTTGTTTTCTTCTCAACAACAAAATGCTTCTTGTTGCCACCAAATCCATAATTCTTCAGTAACAAAATCTACTATAAAAGAAATCCCCCCCCCCTTTTTTTTTTTTTTGAGATGGAGTCTCGCTCTGTCGCCCAGGCTGGAGTGCAGTGGCCTGATCTCGGCTCACTCCGAGTTCTGCCTCCCGGGGTTCACGCCATTCTCCCACCTTAGCCTCCCGAGTAGCTGGGACTGTAGGCGCCCGCCACCACGCCAGGCTAATTTTTTTTGTATTTTTAGTAGAGACGGGGTGTCACTGTCTTAGCCAGGAGGGTCTCGATCTCCTGACCTCGTGATCCGCCCGCCTTGGCCTCCCAAAGTGCTGGGATTACAGGCGTGAGCCACCGTGCCCGGCCAATCCCCACATATTTATCTAGGCTGTACTGGATTATTTTATACTTCTACCTGAGTTTGTAGAGATATGGATTCTTTGGTAGGTTTATTCACTCAGCAAATATTTATTTAACAACTGTTGTGTGCCGAGTTTAAAGTATTTTTTTCTTCTGATTTATTAGTGTGCACTTTAGTTTCAGATGTAAACATTAACATGGTATGCCTGAAGGAGTAATGACTGAATTGGATATTGAGGTGAATTTTTAAAGCACGGCTTTTGTTCATTTGAAAATAAAGACAAGCTGGTGCTATAAATATTATAAGCAGTAAGAATAGCAACAGTATCTCTTAGAGGGTTATGAGAAGAACTGAAGGTTCCTTATGAAGGATATGAATGGGTCATGTGATTAAGATAGCTACAAAAGCTTTTGCAGGTTAAACTGGCAGCTTCTAAATTATCTGATCTAAATCAAGGAATTCAAGCATTTTGGGTTTCTTCCAGCCTTTAAGTTGTTTGGTTCCAGCCTAGAATTATTTTATTGCTAGTAGCACTGTTATATAGCACAAATGACCATACTCAAGTGCAAGGATTTTAGAGTCCTCAGAATTTTGTGTGTGTGATCACAAAGTTTGGAATGGAATATTGTAATTTAATCTCACTTGCAGAGGAGTATTTGTATTAAATTTGGGGAAAAATATTTTGCGTCTATAATTGATATGCATTATAATGCTATATTTAAGATGTCGTATTAGGCTGGGTGCAGTGGCTCATGCCTGTAATCCCAGCACTTTGGGAGGCCGAGGCAGGTGGATCGCCTAAGGTCAGGAGTTCGAGACCAGCCTGGCCAACGTGGCGATACCCCATCTCTACTAAAAATACAAAAATTAGCCAGGCCTACTGGCGTGCGCCTGTAATCGCTGCTACTCAGGAGGCTGAGGCAGGAGAATTGCTTGAACCCAGGAGGCGGAGGTTGCAGTGAGCCAAGATCACGCCACTGTACTCCAGCCTGGGCAACAGAGTAAGGCCCTGTCTCAAAAACAAAAAACAAAAAACAAAAAAAAAGATGTCATATTATACTTTAGATTCTAATAAATAACCTATTTGCAAGTAAGTACTTCTGTAAGTACTACATTGATCTATAATTTTTTTTTTTTTTTTTTTTTGGAGACAGGTCTTACCATGTTGCCATGTTACCCAAGCTGGTCTCGAACTCCTGGGCTTAAACAGTCCTCCCATCTCAGCCTTCCTAAGTGCTGAGATTCTTCTGTCCTCTTACGCCGGATGCAATCTACTGTTCTTTTAGATCAGTTACATCAATGGCAAATGCCTATAGTTAAATGATAAAAAAAATTTCTTTTCCTTTTGAATGACTTTTTGTAAGTATAGGATTTGTGATTTATGTTTGAGTAAACAGTGTACATATTTATTTATTTATTTAGAGGCAGGCACCTTGAATCTGTTTTCTTAGTACTGTGGGGAAGAGATCTGCCTGGGAAAGCAAGGTTGTGGATTTCCAGTCTCCAGCACTTGGTACATAATTGGCACTCAGTAATAATCAATAAATGAAAAATGTGAAGGAATTTGGGTAAATGTAAAAATGTAGGCATGTCTGTTGACTCCTTAATGTGTTTGGCACTTCTCTGCATTTGGAAGTAGGAAATTTTAAGGAATACTTTCTGGGACTCTGTTTCCTGATCTTTTCTGCCAGTAGGCCCTGGTTTGGATTAAATTTGCTCAACTGCTGCTATGTCGTGGCCCTGGCGAAGTCAGGTATTCCTAAGGTTGAAGCCACAGCCCCTGTGCTGCTCTCCTCCCGCCAGTCTGTAATAATATTCTTCCTCTTTGGGAAATATAAGGCACACAAAAAAGGCTTTATTCCATTTCCTTAGGGCCTTAAAATATGAACTGGAAGAGAGCAAAGAGACAGGCACATAGAGTTAACTATAATAGAACAATAATAATAGCTAACACTTACATATCCAGCCTACTCAGTGTGCCAGGCACTGTTGTCATTTTAAGTGTATTTACCTCCTTGTCCACACAAAAGCAAGGTAGGTACTCCTATTTTCCTCATTCTACAGGTGAGGAAATTGAGACACAAAGAGATTATATAACTTCATATGCCTAGCAAGGGTTGGAGTGAGAACTTAAAACACCAGATAGCTGGTTTCAGAATCCTTTAAATACTAGGTCAAATTGCAGAAAGAAGAAAGCAGTGATTTGAGATGTAAATTACAGCTGCAGGAACTGAAGAAGACAAGATAAGCTAGAACCCCCAGTAACAGCTGTTACAAGGAGGGGTCAGATCAAGTTTTGTAAAGGCACTGGGCATTGTAGGAGGAGTAGTTTATTTAAAAGCATAGGTTGGGCATGGTGACTCACGCCTGTAATCCCAGCACTTTGGGAGGCCAAGGTGGGCGGATCACCTGAGGTCACGAGTTCAAGACCAGACTGACCAACAAGGAGAAACCCCGTCTCTACTAAAAATACAAAACTAGCCGGGCCTGGTGGTGCATACCTGTAATCCCAGCTACTGGGGAAGCTGAGGCAGGAGAATCACTTGAACCCGGGAGGCGGAGGTTGCAGGGAGCCGAGATTGCACCACTGCACCCCAGCCTGGGCAACAAGAGCGAGACTGTCTCAAAAAAAAAAAAAAAAAAAAAAAAGATAAAAGCGTAGACAGCAGCCGAGCGCAGTGGCTCACAGCTGTAATCCCAGCACTTTGGGAGGCCAAGGGAGACGGATCACCTGAGGTCAGGAGTTGAAGACCAGCCTGGCCAACATGTTGAAACCCCATCTCTACTAAAAATATAAAAATTAACCAGGTGTGGTGGTGGGCGCCTGTAATACCAGCTACTTGAAAGGCTGAGACAGGAAAATTGGTTGTACCTGGGAGGCGGAGGTTGCAGTGATCCAAGATCATACGACTGCACTCCAGCCTGGGTGATAGAGCGAGACTCCATCTGAAAAACAAACAAACAAAAAAAGGCTTAAACAGCTGTATTGAAATAAAATTTACATACCATAAAATTCACCTAAAGTTGACACTTCAATGGCCTTTTTTTTTTTTTTTTTTTTTTTTAGTTTATAAGGTTGTGCAGCCATCACCATTATCTAATTTTAGAACATTTTTGTCTCTGTTGAAAGGGAGAGTATACCCATTAGCAGTCAATTCCTACTTTCTCACTTTCCCCATTCTTAGGCAACCCCTCATCTACTTTCTGTCTCTGTAGGTTTGCGCCTATTCTGGACATTTCATATAAATGGAATCACATAACATGTGGCCTTTTGTGACTGACTTCTTTCACTGAGCATGTTTTTAAGGTTCCTCCATGTTGTAGCCTGTTTTCAGTATTTCATTCCTTTCTATTTTCAGATAATATTCCATTTTATGGATCCTACTTTCTGTTTTATTTGCCCATTCATCATTTGATGGATGTTCAAGCTGTTTCAGTGTTTTGGTTTTTTTGAATAATGCTGCTGTGAACATTTGTGTAGAAGTTGTTCTGTGGTCATCAGTTTTATTTCTCTTGGGTTGCTGGGTCTGTGGTAACTGTATGATTAACCTTTTCAATTCAAGGACTACTAAACTAGTTTTCAAAGTGCCTCCGTCTTTTTTTTTTTTTTTTTTTTTTTTTTGAGGCGGAGTCTCACTCTGTCACCCAGGCTGGAGTGCAGTGGTGCAATCTCGGCTCACTACAACCTCCACCTCCTGGGTTCAAGCGATTCTCCTGCCTCAGCCTCCCAAGTAGCTGGGACTATTTTTGTATTTTTGTATTTTTCTAATTTTGTATTTTTAGTAGAGATGGGGTTTCACCATGTTGGCCAGGCTGTTCTCAAACTCCTGACCTCAGGTGATCCACCCATCTCGACCTCCCAAAGTGCTGGGCTTATAGGTGTGAGCCACTGCACCCGACCGCCTCCATCATTTTATATTACCTTCAGCAGTGTGTGGGGGTTGCAGTTTTTCCACATGCTTATCAACACTTGTTACTGTCTTTTTTTATTACAGCTATATGAAGTGGTAGGTGAACGGCATTTTAGCAGGCAAAGAGTGAAAATTCAGGGCTGAAGTTTCTGTTATAAAAGTACAGGTCAGGCCAGGCTCGGTGGCTCATGCCTGTAATCCCAGCACTTTGGGTGGCCGAGGCGGGTGGATCACCTGAGGTCAGGAGTTGGAGACCAGCCTGGCCAACATGGTGAAACCCCATCTCTACTAAAAATACAAAAATTAGCCGGGCGTGGTGGCATGCACCTATAGTCGCAGCTACTCGGGAGGCTGAGACAGGAGAATTGCTTGAAACCAGAAAGTGGAGGTTGCAGTGAGCCGAGATCATGCCACTACACTCCAGCCAAAAAAAAAAAAAAAAAGTACAGGTCAGGCCCAAGGAATGGTGAATAATCCATTGGATAAGTGGAGAAACATAGAGAAGGGATGACCCTGACAAGGTGGCTTGACGCCAGATCATGGAGGATCTTGCATATAACGATGGTAAAATGTTTGGACTTTATTCTTTTGGCACTTTAACCTGGGAAGTGGCTTGATCTGAACTGTGTGGATGAATGATAACCCTGGCAAGAGAATAGAGGAGAGGATGAGTGAGAGAACAGAAAGTTAGAGGTAGAGCAGCCCTTCAGGAACTTATTGCCTATTGCAGTCATTGAGGAGAGATGATGCTGGTGGAAACAGCAGAAGTGGAAGGAAGAAACAGAGTCAAGAGAGAGGGCAGGAATGGTAACTAAATGGAATGAGAAGAGTGGATACGGTTGAAGTTTATACTAGTTCCTGGGGCAGGTGCCTAGAACCATTGACCATAAATGGAATGGAGGAAGGAAGATGAGTAATAAATTTGATTTTAGATGCATGATGCCTGGGATGTTTAAGGGATGAGTGGATGACCACGATAGCCATCTTCATACCTTCTTTGGTCACATGTACCTCCTGAAAAAATCCTGGAAAACTATGTACCTCCTGCATATATACATATATGTTTTAAATATATATATAATATATATGTATTTTATATATATGTGTGTTTTTATTTTTTATATATATATGTGTGTGTGTGTGTGTGTGTATTTTAGACCAAGTTTCACTCTTGTCGCCCAGGCTGGAGTGCAATGACACGATCTCTGCAATCTCCACCTCCCGAGTTCAAGTGATTCTCCCGCCTCAGCCTCCTGAGTAGCTGGGACTACAGGCACTTGCCGCCATGCCCGGCTAATTTTTCTATTTTTAGTAGAGACGGGGTTTCACCATGTTGGCCAGGCTGGTCTCAAACTCCTAACCTCAGGTGATCCACCCGCCCCAGCCTCCCAAAGTTCTGGGATTACTTGAGCCACCACGCCCGGCCATAAGCATACATTTTGATTGAGAATGTATCTCTTAATGAGATAGGCCTTTTGTTTGTTTGTTTGTTTAAGAGATGAGGTCTCGTTATATTGTTCGGGTTAGTCTGGAATTCCTGGCCTCAAGTGATCCTCCCACCTTAATCTTCTAAATAGTGTGGACTACAGGTCCACACCCAGCTAGGACTTTTGTTGTTCACTTAGTTGACATATCTGGATGAATTGGGTCCATTTATATTTCTTATTTTTATGGATGTAAGCACTAAGAAATATTGCTCACATAAACATGTAGATGGGAATGGAAGGCATTTTTTGTAGCTGTAACAATTATTTGAATTCCTTCTGATGTATATGCCAAGATTACGTAATGATCAGTCATCAAAAATTATTTTTAATTATCTGTCAATTGACAACTCAATTAGGTCTTTCAAATTTGTGGTAAGCAAAGAATTGGAAACTCTCTGGGAAAATAAGCAAGATCAATCGTTATTCACTTTACTTTTTCTAGGAAAAATACCCTAAAAAAAAGCTTTACCAATACTTACCTAATGACTATTAAGTAGTCTTATTATTCTTTCAACAAGAATCTTGTTCCCTGTATCCAATATGTATGGAAGAGTTGGGGAAATCAAAATACTGTTAGTTTCAGTATACCTTTCCAATATGATATTTTTGACAAAATACTTTTATTGTGTGATACGCTTTTCTAATAACTTTTTTGTTGTTGTTTTTTGAGACAGAGTCCCAATCTTTCACCCAGGATGGAATAAGTACAGTGGTGCGATCTCGGCTCACTGCAACCTCTGCCTCCCAGGCTCAATTTATCCTCCTGCCTCAACCCGCCAAGTAGCCAGGACTACAGGCGTGCACCACCATGCCTGGCTAATTTTTATGTTTTTTGTTTGTGTTGTTTTTTTCGTAGAGACGGAGTTTCACCATGTTGCCCAGACTGGTCTCGAACTCCTGAGCTCAAAGGATCTGCCTGCCCCGGCCTCCCAAAGTGCTGGGATTACAGGCGTGAGCCACCATTCCCAACCATATTGTGTGACATACTTTTAAATAGAGTTTTGTCAAAACTGTGGCTATAGATTAGCTCTTTCCAAAAATGGGAAATGACCACCATATAACCTAATTGGTAAAGCCAGTCTTTATTGCTAAATTAGACTTCTTTTCTTTGTGGGTTTTGTTTTGTTTTGTTTTGTTTTTGTTTTTGTTTTGGAGATGGGGTCTTACTCTCACTATGTTGCCCAGGCTGGTCTTGAACTCCTGGGCTTAAGTGATGTTCCTGCCCTAGCCTCCTGAGTAGCTGGGACTACAGGCACATACTACCATGCCTGGCTGGCTTCATTTTCCTTTTCTTTTTTGAGGGGGGTGGGGGGAATGGAGTTTCACTCTTGTTGCCCAGGCTGGAGTACAGTAGCTCACCGCAACCTCCACCTCCGGGATTCAAGTGATTCTCCTGCCTCAGCCTCCCAAGTAGCTGGGATTACAGGCGCCCGCCACCATGCCCAGCTAATTTTTTGTATTTCTGGTAGAGACAGGGTTTCACCATATTGCGCAGGCTGGTCTTAAACTCCTGACCTCAGGTGATCTGCCCGCCTCGGCCTCTGAAAGTGCTGGGATTAGAGGCGTGAGCCACTGCACCTGGCCTCATTTTTCAATTCACATAAACTATTTAGTACACATCCCATGACAACTATTGTCAATTCCAAAAGCAACAAGCTGAGCTCTAATTGACTTTGTTTCCTCACACAACACTTTGAAAAGACATGAGTTTGACACCCCAAACAGGATAATATTTACCATTTTAATGGTAATATCCAGCAGAACCTTAGACAAGAAACAGTAGAATCTAACTTTTAAGAAAACTTTATTAAAATGTAATTCACACACTATAAAATTCATCCATTTAAAGGGTACAATTTAGTGGGTTGCTTTTTTTCTGTATTTTCACAGAATTGTACAACCATCCCCAATATCTAAGTTTACAGCATTTTTATCACCCCAGCGAGAAACCTGGTACCCATTAGCAGCTGCTCCGCATCTTCTCCCTCTTGTTTGTGCCCGGCTTCTTTCACTGAGCGTAGTTTTCAAGGGTCATCCATGTTGTAGCATTGGTCAGTAAGTACTTCATTCATTTTTATAGCTGAATAATATTGCAGTGTATCAGTATTTTGCATTTTATTTATCCATTTATCAATTGATGGGAACTGTCTGTAACTAGGTATTTGGTAATTCCAAACATCTTATTTTCCAACAGGCAGAGTAAGATTTGTTACATGTAATAAACTCCAAGGGTCTATTAACTTTTTCATTATAACAAATTGTGTAAATATTGCTTTCAGTTAGTTACCCACAGTCCTTTTGCAGTAGAGATAGTTGTCTTGGTTTTAATTGGATTCATGATCTACAACTTTATGTTCTAATCTCATGTCATTTTTATTATTTTTAGTAAAAGTAATTTGTTTGACTAAATTAACTGGTAAACAGTTCTGAGCTTTTTCAATTGTGTCTACAAATTTTAAGAAATTCAGATTATGTGCCAGATGTTTTTAGTAACAGCTTTGTTGCGGTATAATCCACATACCATACAATTCCCATATTTAAAAAGTACAATTCAAAGTTTTTAGTATATTCAGAATTGTACAACCATTGCCAGAGTTTTAGAACATTTCATCACCCTCCAAAAACACCCATGCCCATTGCAGTTCAATCTCCTTTTCCCCTCACATCCCCATCCTGCCAGCCCTAGGCAACCACTAATCTGCTTTCTATGTATAGATTTGCCTACTCTGGGTATCTCGTGTAAATAGAATCATCCAATATGTGATCTTTTTTGTGACTGTCTACTTAGCATAATGTTTTCACGGTTTATTGGTGAATAATATTCCATTGTAGACGTCTACGACATTTTATTCATCAGTTGATATTGGGTTGTTTCCATTTTTATTTTTTACTATTATGAATAATGCTGGTATAATCATACATGTATAAATTTTTGTGTGGACATATGTTTTCATTTCTCTTAGGTATATGCCCAGGAGTGAAATTATTGGGTCATATAGAAACTCTATGTTTAACCCTTTCTTTTTTTTTTTTTTGAGACGGAGTCTCACTCTGTAGCCCAGGCTGGAGTGCAGTGGTGCGATCTTGGCTCACTGCAACCTCCACCTCCCAGGTTCAAGTGATTCTTCTGCCTCAGCTTCCTGAGTAGCTGAGACTACAGGTGTGCGCCACCACGCCCAGCTAATTTTCGTATTTTTAGTAGAGATGGGGGTTTCCCCATATTGGCCAGGCTGGTCTTGAACTCCTGACCTCATGATCCGCCCAACTCAGCCTCCCAAAGTGCTGGAATTACAGGCATGAGCCACCGTGCCCAGCCTATGTTTAACGTTTTAAAGAACTGTCGCACTGTTTTCCAAAGTGGCTGTGCCATTTTACATTTTCACTAGCGATGTATGAGGGTTCTAATTTTTTCATATCCTCACCAACACTTGTTTTTGTCTCTCTTTTTGACCCAAAGATTTTTTTAAATTAATAAAACACTTTTCTGAAAATAAATATATTTTTTTAATGTGGGAAAAAGCAATAAGGCCATTGTTATGCCCAGTCACCATAGCATTCCTATCGGTGGAGAGACTCATGCACCGTTTCCAACTTAAGCCCAAATCAACTCAAATGCATTTTAAGATTTTCTTCATCATTTGTATTCCTAGACAATTCTTTAATCTACTACCTTTTTTGCCACAATCTGCTACACATTCTGCCTTTTCAAGCACTAAAAGGACTCTAGGAGTTTTTTGCAAAGAAATGCTGTCATAAGAGTGGTGGTATCAAAGTATTGTTTAACGGTAGTCTCAAAGACTTTCAGGGTAATGCATTCTGTGATTATAGAGATGAAAGAAACAACATCATAAAGTGAAGGTCATCTTCATTCCCACCACCTTATTCTCAGTATATCTGAAATCAGAACATCCTAATAAGGACCAAAATACTTTGTTCCTAGTTATTCTTCACCCTTAACAGAAATAAGTAAAACACCGAAAGATATGAGGCCCTCCTACCAAGGATTTCTAGTGCTTTAATTAAAGAAAATTTCACCTACACTCATACTATTTTTCAGTTTGCTTTGTTTGGTGTCCTGGAGGTTTTTACATCCTGGAACAGTGCACAGTGGTAAAATTCAGAATGGATGAAAAGTAGGATTGGTTTGTTTGTTTTCAGGAAGTGAGGCAATCGTAAAAGGGAAAAATGGGAAAGGCGAAACAAGCAGGATGTCTTTTTTTTTTTTTTTTTCTTTTTAGACAGAGTCTCACTCTTCGCCCAGGCTGGAGTGCAGTGGTGTGATGTCGGCTCACTGCAACCTCCGCCTCTCAGGTTCAAGCGATTCTCCTGCCTCAGCCTCCTGAGTAGCTGGAATTACAGGCACGTGCCACCATGCCTGGCTAGTTTTTGTATTTTTAGTAGAGACAGGGTTTCACCATGTTGGTTAGGCTGGTTTCAAACTCCAGATCTCATGATCTGCCCGCCTTGGCCTCCCAAAGTGCTGGGATTACAGGCGTGAGCCACCGCGCCCGTCCAGGATGTCTTTTTTCTAATTAGAGACGAGGGTCTCACTTTGTTGCCCAACTGGTCTTGAATTCCTGGGCTCAAGTGATCCTCCTGCCTTGGCCTTCCAAAATGTTGAGATTATTGATGTGAGCCACCACCCCTGGCCAGAATTTCTTGTCTGTGGGAGCATTCTCAGATCAGTCTTATGAAAAAGGACAGCCAGCCCTTCCTATCTGCAGTTTCTGCATCTGCAGATTCACCCAACTGTATATCAAAAACATTTGAAAGAAAAATAGTTTCTGAAAGTTTCAAAAAGCAAGATTTGAATTTGCTGAGCACCAAGCGCTATGCTGTGTCCACATGAATGAAGTGATGTGTAGGCATACTCTGCTGTATCCTCCCGCCAGGACAGAAGAAAAATGTCACATAGTTACTGACAGTACAGTGTAGCAACTATTTACATGGCATTTATTTAATACATTGTATTGAGTATTATAAGTAATCTAGAGATGGTTTAAAGTGTGCAGGAGGATGTGCATAGGTTATATACATATACTACACCATTTTATATCAGGGACTTGAGCATCCTTGGATTTAGGTATCCGAGGAGGCCCTAGAACCAATCCCCCATGGGAAACCAAGGGATGTGAAAATTGAGGGTCTGAATTTGTTTAAGATTCACAGAACAGACTGAAAAGACAAGAGAGGAGATAATGGAGAGAACAAGCTCACTGAGGAAGTGGGCGGGAGGAAATGGGGCAAGAATAGTAGACCAGAGGAAGAGGAGGAGCACATCTGTCTCAGAGTCAGCCACATTTTATTTGGGGCCAAGAACAAAAATAAAGTGACTGTAATCAGTAGGGCTTTAACTCCTTCTGCTGTCCTGCAGTTAGCTTTTTATGTATCCTGGGGTGTCCAATCTTTTGGCTTCCCTGGGCCATACTAGAAGAAGAACGATTGTCTTGGACCACACATAAAATACACTAACTGGCCGGGTATGGTGGCTCACACCTGTAATCCCAGCACTTTGAGAGGCCAAGGTGGGCAGATCACCTGAGGTCAGGAGTTTGAGACCAGCCTGGCCAACATGGTGAAACCCCATCTCTACTAAAAATAACAAAAATGAGCTGGGTGTGGTGGCGGGCACCTGTAATTCCAGCTATTCAGGAGGCTGAGGCAGGAGAATTGCTTGAACCCAGGAGGTAGAGGTTGCAGTGAGCCAAGATCGCACCCTTGCACTCCAGCCTGGGTGACAAGCGCGAGACTCCCTCTCAAAAAAATAATAATACACTAACAGTAACAATAGCTGATGAGCTTTATAAAAGAATCATAAAAAATCTCACTGTTTTAAGAGAGCTTATGAATTTGTGTTGGACCACATTCAAAACCATCCTGGGCTGCATGTGGCCCGTGGGCTGCGGGTTGGATGAGCTTGAGTACCTGGTCAAAATTTGGGAACATTGATGGCCTAAAAATACGTATATTTCCTGTGTGATTTCCTTAATATTTTAAATAATGTTCTAACCATCTCTGCTTTTAGTCAGCCTCATCTTGGAGTCAAGAGACTGGGCTCCTGACTTACTTTGTC
This sequence comes from Homo sapiens, assembly GCF_000001405.40. NCBI lineage: Eukaryota > Metazoa > Chordata > Mammalia > Primates > Hominidae > Homo > Homo sapiens. The sequence continues at coordinate 90,781,942 of NC_000015.10, forward strand.
TTTCTATATGTTTTCTCTTCCACAATCCTAATTTTTTGTCATCTAGTCCCATAAACATTCCCTCTTTATCACCATTCTTTTCTTTAACCCTTAGCCTTACTTCCATTTCAGTGTTCTATTGTGTAAGCTGCTAGCGACAATATTCAACTTAAGACTACTTGGTAGGCTGGGCCCGGTGGCTCATGCCTGTAATCCCAGCACTTTGGGAGGCCAAGGCAAGTGGATTGCTTGAGGTCAGGAGTTCGAGACCAGCCTGGCCAACATGGTGAAACTCTGTCTCTACTAAAAATACAAAAATTAGCTGGGCGCGATGGTGGGCATCCATAATCCCAGCTACTTGGGAGGCTGAGGCAGGAGAATGGCTTGAACCCAGCAGGCAGAGGTTGTAGTGAGCCAAGATTGTGCCACTGCACTCCAGCCTGGGCGACAGAGTGAGACTCTGTCTCAAAAAAAAACAAAACAAAACAAAACAAAAACTACTTGATATTAGCTTGGGCTGCTATGACAGAATACTGTAGACTGGGTGGCTTAAACAACAGAAATTTATTTCTCTTGGTTCTGAAAGCCAGGAAGTCCAAGATCAAGATGCTGGCAGATCCCAAGTCAGATGAAGTCCCTCTTCCTGGTTTGCAAGTGGTAGTATTCTCTTTGCATACTGACATATGCGGGTGGGGAGAGCCAGCAAGGTCTCTACTTATTTTTGAGCACTTATCTCATTCATAACTCCACCCCTCATGACCTAATTATCTCCCGGAGGCTCCAACTCCTAATACCATCACACTGGGGGTTAGGATTTTAGGGGGGACACATGTAGTCTATAACAATACCTAAAGTCATATTTTCTCATAATAACTAAATTTTATGTTTGGGACTTTTTTAGGTTTAGCATGAGCTTTAACAGACATAATCTGAAATACTATGTATTACCGAAAAAGCCTAAAAAGGTGGCATTTGATTGCCTAGAATGGATCAGAAAGCACCACCCATGTGAGTACAGCCATGTGATTAGCTGTCTAGAAGTAACAAATGTCTTTTTAGTACCACAATAAGATATATAAAATTGCATATTAAACATTCCTTTTTGCATTATGACAGCACTAACTTGCTCTTTATAGAGCAGACTATTGCAACTCTCTCAATTCTGGAAATTATAAAATCTCATTTGGTTTAATAACAATAAATTCTAACAAAAATATATTAAATACTCCCTCCTACACACGTATATTATAACTTTTGGTTTCAATGTCTTTCCTCAGGCTTCTATCAGTGTTTGAATTATACAGCTTTTTGTTTTAGTGCCTTGTCCCAAGCCTGTCTGCCTTTGCATTATGTTAACTAAAATGAGATTCTGAAATTCATAGTAGTTTTCCATGTAACCCCCTTTCCACTTTTCCATGGAGAATATTTTTGGTATTTCTATTTTATTTTTTAGAAATTAGTATACATATTTGTGTGGACAAATCAGTCAGTAGAGATCTACCAAGAAAAAGTCAGTGATTTCCCCGCTCAGACTCACCTCCCCCAGGCAGCTAATGTCAATAGCTTCATGTGTATATCTAGACCTTTGGCTCAGTCACAGAGAGATGACTTTTCCTTTAATATCTTTTAATTTCCATTTCTAAAAATAACACACATAATAATAAATATAATATATGCTCATTAAAGAAAATTTATATGGCCAGGCACTGTGGTTCACGCCTGTAATCTCAGCATTTTGGGAGGCCGAGGTGGGTGAATCACTTGAGGTCAGGATTTCAAGACCAGCCTGGCCAAAACGGTGAAACCCCATCTCTACAAAAATTATCCAGACGTGGTGGCACGCACCTGTAATTCCAGCTATTCTGGAGGCTGAGGCAGAAGAACTGCTTGAACCCGGGAGGCAGAGGTTGCAGTGAGTTGAGATCGTGCCACTGCACTCCGGCCTGGGCGACAGAGCAAGACTGTCTCAAAAAACAAAAAAGAAAATTTAGAAAGCAACAAAAAGAAGAAACAAAAGACAAACATCACTCAATGAGCAAAATCACTGTTATGTTATTATTAATTTCTAGTATTTTTCTATGCATTTTTTTCTACTAGCATACTATATACGTTTCTACCGTTAATCTACTTTATATATCATGAGCATTTTCCCATGTCTTTTAAAAACTTAGAAAACACTTTTGATAGTTATAGTATATTTTATTTCACAGTTCCCTGTATTTGTTTCCCTAATGTTGCTCAGTAAAATCTTTGTAATTTTTAAAGTTTGAAGTAAAACTTTTGTTTATGTCCTTGTATCACTTTATTTCCTAATTTCCCAGAAAGAAACTGAGTCAAAGGTATTTCTAAGACTCTTGATACATACTGCCATATGCTTTTGACAAAGTTTGTGCAAGAATGGCTTTTCTTTTTTTTTTTTTTTTTTTTTTTTGAGGCTGAGTCTCACTCTATCTCCAGGCAGGAGTGCGGTGGTGCGATCTCGGCTCACTGCAACCTCTACCTCCTGGGTTAAAGTGATTCTCCTGCCTCAGCCTCCTGACTAGCTGGGATTACAGGTGCCCACCACCACACCTGGCTGATTTTTTTTGTATTTTTAGTGAAGATAGCTTTTCACCATGATGTCCAGGCTGGTCTCGAACTCCCGACCTCAAATGATCTGCCCTCCTTGGCCTCCCAAAGTGCTGGGATTACAGGCATGAGCCACCGCGCCCGGCCAAGGATGGCTTTTTTATACCCACATGTATCTAGTGTGAAGTAGAGCCCAGAGTTCATCCAGGTCCACCTCACGAGTCATTAGCAGCGACAGGATTAAAAGCCACATCTCATTTCCAGCACACATGAATTCCTTGCTTGAATTATTCACGTGTGTGGTCTTCCAGCAGTATAAGAACACTACGGGAGATCTATTTATGGTTCATATATTTCTGAAAATGTAGTGTAAATTGTGTTTTTGTTTATGTTAAAAATTCTTGTTTCTCAGTACTCTTGGTTTCTTGGCAGATGATTCAGGGATAATTTACTGCCTCTCCAGGCGAGAATGTGACACCATGGCTGACACGTTACAGAGAGATGGGCTCGCTGCTCTTGCTTACCATGCTGGCCTCAGTGATTCTGCCAGAGATGAAGTGCAGCAGAAGTGGATTAATCAGGATGGCTGTCAGGTAACATTTTTAAAGATAAACAAATAATAGAAATAATCTTTTATAGCATATAACCAAACATGCACATGTAGAATGCAAACTGTTTTTACCTTGAAGGTAGTAAACATCAAAATAAGACTGAAATTTAAAAAACAGATTTTCTTTGAGACTTCTAAAGTTGCTTTTTCTTTCATAAAAAAAATCTGCTTGAGATATAATTCACATATCATAAAATTTATCCTTTCAAAGCAAACAAGTTAGTACTTTTTAGTTTATTTGCAAAGTTGTACAATAATCATCTCTATCTAATTCCAGAATTTTTGATCACCATAAAAAGAAACCTCATACCCAGTCACTTCCCCCACCCCCTAATGCCTGGAAACCACAAATCTACTAACTACTGCTAACCTGTTTCTAGAGTTTATTACTCTGTACATTGCATGTAAATAGAATCATACAGTATGTGGTCTTTGTGACTTTTCTTTTTTTTTTTTTTTTCCGGAGACAGAGTCTCACTCTGTCGCCCAGACTACAGTGCAGTAGAGAGATCTTCGCTTACTGCAACCTCCGCCTCCCAGGTTCAAGTGATTCTCCTGCCTCAGCCTCCTGAGTAGATGGGATTACAGATGTGCGCCACCATGGCCAGCTGATTTTTGTATTTAATATTTTTAGTGGAGACTCAAACTGGTCTCGAACTCCTGGCCTCAAGTGATCCACCTGCCTCAGCCTCCCAAAGTGCTGGGATTATAGGCATGAGCCACCTCGCCTGGCCTGTTTGCTTTTATTTAGCATAATTTTTTCAAGATTTATCCATATTTTAGGATATATGAGTACTTCATACCTTTTTATGGTCAGATAATATTCTGTTATATGGATATAACACAGTTTGTTTATCTACTCATCAGCTGGTTAGACATTTGGCTTGTTTCGTTTCTTTCTTTTTTTTTTTTTTTTTTTTTTTGAGACAGGGTCTTACTCTTTCATTCAGGCTAGAGTGCAATGGCATGATCTCTGCTCACTGCAGACCGTACCTCAAACAATCCTCCCACTTCCCAAGTAGCTAGGACGACAGGCGCACCACTATGCCTGGCTAATTTTTTTATTTTTTGTATAGACGAGGTCTCCCTGTGTTGCCCAGCCTGGTCTTGAACTCCTGGGCTCAAGTGATAATCCTGCCTCAACCTACCAAATTCCTGCGATTATAGGTGTGAGCCACCATCCCCGATGTGTTTCTACTTCTTGGCTACTATGAATAATGGCTTTGTGAGCATTCACGTACAAGTTTTTCCACGGACATATGTTTTCAGTTCTCTTGGGTAGACACCTGGGAGTGGACTTGCTGGGTCAAATGGCAACTCTTTGTTTAACTTTTAGAGGAACTGTGAAACTGCTTTTCAAAGTGGCTCTGCAGTTCTGCATTCTCACCAGCAATGTATGAGGTGCCAGTGTCTCCACGTCTTCACCAATATTTTTTATTGTCCAGCTTTTTTAATGTATTCATCCTTGTGTGTGGGAAATGGTATCTCTTTGTGGGTTTTTTTTTATTTACATGGAAGACCACACACGTGAATAATTCAAGCAAGGAATTCACGTCACCCAGGCTGGAGTGCAGTGGCGCAATCTTGGCTCACTGGAACTTCCGCCTCCTGGTTCAAGCAATTCTCCTGCCTCAGCCTCCCAAGTAGCCGGGACTATAGGCACATGCCACCACACCCAGCTTATTTTTGTATTTTTAGTAGAGACAGGGTTTCACCATATTGGCCAGGCTGGTCGTGAACTCCTGACCTCATGATCCGCCCACCTCAGCCCCCCAAAGTGCTGGGATGACAGGTGTGAGCCACCACGCCTGGCCCTCTTTGTGGTTTTGATTTGCATTTCCCTAGTAACTAACAATATTGGGCATCTGTTTCCGAGATGAGAAATTTGCCGTCACCCAGGTGGGTGGGGAGGAAAGCTGAAAATACTTTAGGCATCTCTTTTTTTTTTTTTTTTTTTTTTTTTTTTTTGAGACGGGAGTCTCACTCTGTCGCCCAGGCTGGAGTGCAGTGGCGCGATCTCAGCTCACTGCAAGCTCCGCCTCTCGGGTTCACGCCATTCTCCTGCCTCAGCCTCCCGAGTAGCTGGGACTATAGGCACCCGCCACCACGCCCGGCTAATTTTTTTTTGTATGTTTAGTAGAGACGAGGGTTTCACCACGTTAGCCAGGAGGGTCTCGATCTCCTGACCTCGTGATCCGCCCGCCTCGGCCTCCCAAAATGCTGGGATTACAGGCGTGAGCCACCGCACCCAGCCTACTTTAGGCATCTCTTATTGTGGTAAATGCCAGCCTTGGATAGATCCCTCTAAATGAAAGGATGAATTTCAGCAAAACAACTAATAATTACTTGGAGCCAATGAAAAGTTTCAGCTCAGGAAAAAGTATTTACTTTGAAGATTCAGAGGAAAAATATCTCTCAAAATTGTTTTCTCTGGGAAAACAGAAAATTTTAGAGGATATCAGTTTAGTATCCCGAGAAAGATATAAGAAGACTTAATATACGTGAACTAGTAACAACTTCCATAAGATCACAGGGTGAGATGAAGGGAGAAATAAAAATCCAGTTTATGGCCAGGTGCAGTGGCTCACCCCTGTAATCCCACCACTTTGAGAGGCCGATGTGGACGGATCACCTGAGATCAAGGAGTTTGAGACCAGCCTGGCCAATATGGTGAAACCCTGTCTCTACTAAAAATACAAAAATTAGCCGGACGTGGTGATGGGCATCTGTAGTCCCAGCTACTCAGGAGGCTGAGGCAGGGGAATCACTTGAACCTGGGAGCCGAAGGTTGCAGTGAGCCGAGATCGTGCCACTGTACTCCAGCCTGGGAAACAGAACAAGACTCTATGTCAAAAAAAAAAAAAGAAAGAAAAATTCAGCTTATCCAAGTAAGAAAAACAAAACTAAGAGCAGAATTATATATTAAGACACAAATGGAATGACTCAGTCTCAGTGGAGACAATAGAATCAGTGATGTAGTGAGTAGCTTGAGAATGCAAGGGAAAAAAGAGATTAAAATGGGGTGGGGTGGAAATTATCTTTGTTGACAAAAGGAGGTAAGGATTCAGCCTAAGAATAGTAAGTGTACCCAAGCAAGAAAGCAGGATAATTGAAACAGATAAGTGTGTTATAAATAAATACATAACAAATATATAACAAAAATAATAGAAGACTGTCTTCAGAATTGGAAGAAGGAAGACTGGGACTGAAGAATTTCGTACCCAGCTCACTGTCATTTATGTTGAAACCAACAAAAGGTCATTTTCAGATATGCAAAAAGTTTAGAAATACATCACTCATTTGTCTTCACTGAAATACTGATTTTAGTCTTCCCAAATTAGTTTATATATTTAACCCAAATGCCAGTGTTTTGTTTTTTTTTTTTTTTTTTTTTTTGGTTTTTTGTTCTTTTCCCTTTGATAAACTTTTTCTAAAGTTTGCCTGGAAGAATATTCAAGTGAAAATAACTAAGAGAGTTTGGCAAAAAACCTAATAATACAGGAACACTAGTTTGCAGTACATTATAGGCAGATCAGTGGAACAGGAAAACATGTAAAAACAATACATGATAAGGAAAAAGTTTGCATGAAAGGGCCAGGCATGGTGGTTCACACCTGTAATCCCAGCACTTTGGGAGGCCAAGGTGGGAAGATCACTTGAGCCTAGGAGTTCAAGACCAGCCCAGGCAACATGGCGAAACCCCATCTCTACAAAAAATACAAAAATTAGCCTGGCATGCTGGTGCACACCTGTAGTCCCAGCTTCTCGGGAGTCTGAGGCAGGAGAATAGCTTGAACCCTGGAGGTGGAGGTTGCAGTGAGCCAAAATCACGCCACTGCATTCCAGCCTGGGCAACAGACCGAGACTGTCTCAAAAAAAAAAAAAAATGATTTTTTTCAAGTGCTTTAAATGGTTATGTATAGTATAAATAATCTACAATGGAGATATATATATATATATATATAACTTTGATAAAAAATATGGTTAAACAATAGGGGTTTATAAAAACCTAATTATTTCTGCTCTCAGACTAATTAATCCTTACAGTCAGCATGTAATATTAGCCTACACCAGCTCGACAGACTTGATCTCGTTAGATTCATGAGATAGAATAAAACTTGGCCATTATTCTTCACAAAGAATGATTGTGGCTTGAAGTTTTAAAAGCGCAGAAATAAAGAAGGAAATCACAATTAAACAAAGCCACTTTTCCCAATTTCAAGAAATAAGAGCTTTCAGAAAGAGTTGGCAGCCTTGCATCCTCATCTGGAGGCTGCAGGCGGTGCCTCACAGCCCTGTGCCCGCCCTGATACTGGGAGATGCACCTGGACTTCATGGAACCCTGTGGGTCATGCTTCCGGACCTGTCGGCTGACACATCTTGCTGTGCAGCTTCTCCACCTGCTCTCCATCACTAGAAGCTACAATAGTCTTTCTGTTTCCAAGGAGATTTGCCTTTGATCAGAGTGCCATAAATGTAGATGGATGACTAACCGAGAGCGCAGGCCACTCACCGCCATTCCTGGTGTTGATAAATGTACCCCTTTACTGTCCACATACTCCAGAGCTTGCAGTTCCTTCCGCTGGTACTCACAGTTACTGAAATCATGTCATTAGTCTCAGTCTGCCTGCCAGATATTTCAGATGCCTTTGAAATACTGTTCTTGCAGTAGCAATTCATTTTTTTAAGTGCTAAAAAAAAACTTGCAGTTTTATTTGTGAAGTGTAATTTTGCCTGGAGATATAACATTTTGGTCTGGGTTAAATAGCTCCTAAATTCTCAACTGAAATGGATATCCTTGAAAACTGATTTATCAAGCTCCTGAGAGTGAACTATCACCTTGCTTCCACTAAGTAATTTGTAAGGTCTAAGATCCGCAGTCCCTGGTGTTTTTTTTTTTTTTTTTTTTTTTTTTTTTTTTTTTTGGTATAAGTAGCTCTCAGACTTTTACCCACATGAGTTTCCATTAAAATTGTACAAGCTTTGACTTTAAATCAGCTGATGAATAGAAGGAGTTGATGTGTGATCAGCTGGTGCTATTGGGAAAACTGATGATAAGCAGTGGAGCAGGTAAGAACGTATTGTTCCTGAACCATTGGAGGAACTAGCAGCAGTGACCTCTGAGGAGCCCTGGGAACACCCTGGAGCTCCTGAGCAACACGTTGCTTGTGATCACTGACCTGGATATCATGACTGTGTGAGCAACACCCCCCACACCTCAGTAGCAAAAACAGAGAACAGTGGCAGCACATCGTGGGCTGACTGCAGTTGATTCTGGCTCTCTTACATGAGAATGCCAAGTCATACAAGAAAGTGCCTGCCATGCTGAGCTTCTCTTTACCTTCTTGGGTTTTAATGGCATTGCAAGTTATCAGTATAAAAACTCATATTAGTTATACTAAATAGTTGGACCAAGTTAAGATATTAGGTTGTTATGTAGTGTGCATTTTAAAGTAAAACAAATGATAGAGCTTTTAGAAGCATCTATTATGAAAATGTTCCTTCAAGTCTGTGCCTTATGAATCTAATAAGCTTTTGCTTTTATATCAGGTTATCTGTGCTACAATTGCATTTGGAATGGGGATTGACAAACCGGACGTGCGATTTGTGATTCATGCATCTCTCCCTAAATCTGTGGAGGGTTACTACCAAGAATCTGGCAGAGCTGGAAGAGATGGGGAAATATCTCACTGCCTGCTTTTCTATACCTATCATGATGTGACCAGACTGAAAAGACTTATAATGAGTAAGCTGGGCTCCATTGTAGAGACATTCTGTCATCTTCAGCCTCATGATAGTAGTCTACTCCTGCTATTGTGGTACTTCTGGTCCAGTTTTCCTTAAATAATCGTAGAAAAATAGAGGAGTTTATACAGATTGGCAATTTTATTTTAGTTCATTTTTATTATAAAAGTGGTAAGTGCTTATTTTGTAAAACTCAAATGATACAGATGTGTACAAGGCAGAAAATTTACAAACCATGCCTTGTAGTTTTGCCCCCAAAATAACTCTAGTTATTGGTTTCCTTTGTATCCTTTCAGACCCTATTTCTGCATGCATTCTTGCATGTAACACATATTTCAAACATGCAGGAAGATAAAAAGGAGAAAATAATGAGCTGTCATATACTACCATCTGGATTAAGAAATAAAACACAATCAATCGAGCTGAACCCCTCCCCACCACCCCATAGCCTCTCTTGTCTCATCCGTCCTCTCCCATTAGAGGCAGGCAAATATCTTGTATTTGGTATGTACCTTTTCCAAATGCACATATTTTAAAATGTAAATGGGATTATATTATACATACTTTATATATATAATGACCCGATTTTTTTCAGTCAACAGTAGGATGTAATTATCATTCCAATGAATACATACAGCCTGACTACCTAGAATTCCGTAGTATGGTTATTCCATGGTTATTAAACTAATCCCCTCTTACTAGATCTTGTTTATTGTTTTTCACTGTTATCAACAATGCAGTATTGAACATCCCTCCCTATACAAATATCTTTGGGCATTTTTGCAGTTACTTATATAAGATTTTTTTTTTTTCAAGACCGAGTCTCACTCTGTCACCCAGGCTGCAGTGCAGTGGCAGAATCTTGGCTCACTGCAACCTCCGCCTCCCGGGTTCAAGCGATTTTCTCACTTCAGCTTCCAGAGTAGCTGGGACTACAGGCATGTGCTACCATGCCCAACTAATTTTTGTATTTTTAGTAGAGACAGGGATTTCACCATGGTGTCCAGGCTGGTCTCAAACTCCTGACCTCAGGTGATCCGCCCACCTCAGCCTCCCAAAGTGTTGGGATTACAGGTGTGAGCCACCACGCCCGGCCTTATAGGATAAATTTCTAGAGTTAAACTTGCTGGGTGAAAGTGAATACATATTTTAGAATTTTATTACATTCTTTGCTCATTTTTCTCCTGGGTTGTGAGAGTTAAATATATTTCCTAAATATATGTATTTCTTCTGAGACCACTTTTTTTTTTCTTTTTTTTTTTTTTGAGACGGAGTCTCGCTCTTGTTGCCTAGGCTGAAGTGCAAAGGCTGGAATGCAATGGCACGATCTCGGCCCACTGCAACCTCTGCCTCCCAGATGCAAGCAGTTCTCCTGCCTCAGCCTCCTGAGTAGCTGGGATTACAGGCTCCCACCACCACACCCAGCTAATTTTTGTATTTTTAGTAGAGACAGGGTTTCACCATGTTGGCCAGGCTGGTCTTGAACTCCTGACCTCCAGTGATCTGTCCGCCTCAGCCTCCCAAAGTTCTGGGATTACAGGCGTGAGCCACTATGCCCAGCCGAGACCACTTTTAAATTAACTCTGGCAGAAGTACAGTGCATAGGAAATGGCACTTACCAAGCACTGTGCCCAACACTGCATATATCACCTCATTACCTTATTTGTTCAAAACAACTAACTTGTGATGTAGAGGTACTCCCATAAAAAGTGAGCTTCGGAAAGGTTTTGTAACTTTTCCCCAGGATCACTGATATGGCAGGAGCAATAAGAGTCGTTGTAGTAGTAGTATAACAATGGTAATTATTATAGATAAGTGTTTATTTAGCCCTTCCTATGTGCCATTCTAAATGCCTTACATGTATCATCAACTAATTTCATCTTCACAATAACCCTCAGAGATAAAACCTTTGCTTTCCTCATTTTACAGAGGAGGAAAATGAAATGCAGAACTAGTAAATGGTAGAGCCCTGACAGAACCCAAGTTCGTCTGATTCCAAAGTCCATGTTCCTTGCACTATACCAAAGTGATTCTCAGTGAAGAAAATTAAATATTTACACTTGGTTTGCCCATTTGTGTTTTTTTTAAAATCTATATTAAAGCTAGGCCCAAACATGGCCAGGCATGGTGGCTCACACCTGTAATCCCAGCACTTTGGGAGGCCGAGGCCAAAAAAAAAAAAAATTTAGGCCCAAACAATTTAATAGATATTTAAGTCCTGATAGCAGCAACTATTTGGGGGAAAAATACTCATAAACTGGAAGAAAAAAATAATATTTTTTAAAAATTATTTTCTTTTTTTTTTTTTTGAGACGGAGTTGCGCTTTTGTCACCCAGGCTGGAGTGTGATGGCACGATCTCAGCTCACTACAACCTCCACCTCCTGGGTTCAAGCGATTCTCAGCCTCAGCCTCCCGACTAGCAGGGATTACAGGCTCGCACCACCACACCCAGCTAATTTTTGTATTCTTAGCAGAGACAGGGTTTTGCCATGTTGGCCAGGCTGGTCTCAAGCTCCCGACCTCAGGTGATCCGCCCACCTTGGCCTCCCAAAGTGCTAGGATTACAGGCGTGAGCCACCGTACCTGGTGTTAAAATTCTTAAGTAACAACAGTTGCTTACTGATGGAAAGTATGCCACTGCTGTTCTCACACATTGGAATCAAATCCGACACTGCCACCCTCATTTCCTGTTTCACATTGATTTTCTTGAGATACTTCTTTTTATCATAGCAACTGCGAAAAACCCAGCTTTGCAAAGATGAGATATTGCTAATAGGAATGTAGCACAATCTAATGTTAATACCATTAACTACCTCAAGCTAATAATTTGGGTGATGTTCAACAGATGTTAGGCATTGCTGTGTTTCCCTTCATGTAAAATATTCTGTCTCTGTGAGTTCACCACAGCACCCCCGGGCTTGTTGGCACACAATTTTGGAACCACTGGTGTAACTACTTTGACCTCAGATACTCAGAGAAGTGCATGGCCACTGCCGTAATCTCAGGCTCTGCTTCCTCAGGATGTTCAGTTCGGTGGATGCTCGACTGATAAATACAGCAAATATAAGTCAAACCATCATCATTGGGGATAATGAAGATTTGAAAAAAAAAAACCTAACATTTATTCCTATAGTACTAAAATCTTGAGGATGAACATTAATACTCAGTTAATTATAATATAGAATGCCATGTTGACAATGCTGTTAACAGTAATTTTCTTATTTAATATTTAAAGTTATATGAATCTATTCTAAATATTTCTATGATATGCTCTATTTTTCCCCTATAAGTATGTCTTACTATAGTCTTCATCTCTTTTAGTGGAAAAAGATGGAAACCATCATACAAGAGAAACTCACTTCAATAATTTGTATAGCATGGTACATTACTGTGAAAATATAACGGAATGCAGGAGAATACAGCTTTTGGCCTACTTTGGTGAAAATGGATTTAATCCTGATTTTTGTAAGAAACACCCAGATGTTTCTTGTGATAATTGCTGTAAAACAAAGGTAAAAAAAGAAGTTTTAAAATTCTTTATAATTAAATTTTTTTTCTCTTACTTTAAAAATGTAGATACAAATTAGATTGCAAAAGGTGGTCTCCGACAGATTAACAGGGGAAAGACAGCTTCCTTCCAGTAGTAATTTGGAATGGAAACATTTAAAAAGTAATTTCATGCGGTATCTTTTCTTTATAATTAGAACCCTGTTAAAAAATATAATGGACATCAGCATATCCAGAATATTGAGTTTATATATGTGCACTGATGATTACAGAATATTTTAGAAATATTAATATGCAAACATCCAAAAAGATCCAACATGGGCAGGTAGAATATTTTAAATTTAATATATTAATGTTATTAATATAATACATTATATTAAAAATTTAATTGATTAAATTAAATATATTAAAATTGACGTATTAATATTTAATATTTTAAATATTTAATTAATATACTAAAAATCTCATTCTCAAAAGAGTAATAACTAGTGTACCGTATGTTTGAATTCAAATCAATTACATTACTCTTTTTTTTTAACTATAAAGAATAACAGTAACTGCTTGTGGATAAATTCACTATTATCTGTCCTAAAATACCCTTGGAAGGTTGTTAAATTCAGTCATTAGGTACTTATTTTACCTATCTTGGTAATTCTACATTTTAATGTCTACTGTAACCTACTGCTTACTGAGCATTTTCACGTTTGGTGTATTATTTACCTATCTGGGAGTATTAGACTTATATGTGCAAGATGCTGGAGAGCCACAAGTGACCATGGTATGGACCAATTCATAGACTGGAGTGGAGACCGACATACATGTGTTCATAGAAGTTTAACACTCTGGCTTGGCGCAGTGGCTCATGCCTGTAATCCCAGCACTTTGGGAGGCCGAGGCAGGAGGATCACCTGAGGTCAAGAGTTCAAGACCAGCTTGACCAACATGGTGAAACCTTGTCTCTACTAAAAAAATACAAAATTGGTCGGCTGTGGTGGCCCATGCCTGTAATCCCAGCTACTTGGGAAGCTGAGGCAGGAGAATCGCTTGAACCTGGTAGGTGGAGGCTGCAGTGAGCCAAGATCATGCCATTGCACTCCAGCCTGGGCAACAAGAGCGAAACTCCATCAAAAAAAAAAAAGTTTAGTACTCTCAGTAAGTATAGTTAAAAAATACAGAGCACAGGGCAGAACAGAGGGTAGTCTCTCTCAGTGTGGAACTGGCAAATTCATGCCATCTCCTCCCACCCCACCCCATCCCTTAAACATTGCTATCAGTTCCCTCATTCAACAGATATTTGTTGGGCTGTGTAACAGGCACTGTTGTAGGAATTTGGGATACATCACTAAACAAAATGAAAATCCCTGCCCTTGTGGAGCTTACACTCTAGCAGAGGGAGGCCAGTTACAAACAATATACACAATAAATATACATGAAAGGATAAGAGCTGTGGTGAATGGCACAGCAGAGTAAAAAGACAGGAGGAATGGGTAGAGTGCAGGATGCAGTATTAGACGGGGTGGTCCTTGGAAGTCTAACTGAGAAGATGGGAGCTGAGGAAAATCTTGAAGAAGGGAGTTAGCTGGCAGCTCCCTGGATGTGAGCTTTCCTGCAAGAAGCTTTGGCTAGAGCAAAGGCCCTAAGGTGGGGGTGTGCCTGGTGTGTTCGAGAGATGGCAAGGGAGCCCATGTGGCTGAGCAGGATTAAGAGCCAGTGAGGGGAAGAGGTGATGGAGAGCCAGAGCAGTCAGTTGAGGGCTAGAGTCCCAGAGTAACTGGAGGCCTGAGTAACTGGAAGGATGGAGTTATCCTTGGCTAAGATGCAGAAGGCTGGTTGGCAGAGAAGATCAGGAGTTTGGTTTGGGTTACCTAAATTGGGAATCTAATATTGAATTACATATTAAGATTCAAAAATTCTGAAAACAGACTGGTGGCACATGGGTGATATTTAAAGCATGGCCATCAGCTGACAGTCGGGATAAGAGAAGGGACGGAAGAGAAAGGAGAAAGTATGAAATAGTTGTCTAGGACAGGGGTCAGTAAACTTGCTTTTAAAGGGCCACAGCATAAATATTGTACACTTCGCAGCCATAGTCTCTGTCACAACGACTCACAGCTTTGCCATTGTAGTCTAAATGCAGACATAAATAATAAATACACCAATTTTCTAGTCATCTTCCATGGCTGTGTTCCAATAAAACTTTATGCACAAAAACAGGCATCCAGCTCCTGGGCCATAGTTTGCTGACTTCTGTTGTGAGAGAATGGAGGAATGATAGGCTAGGGAAGTATAAAGATAATGATTGCCTACAGCATTAACAGTCCATTCGAGCTTTGTGGCCACGTAGTGACAGTGAAAATGCCAAGTTCAGCCACATAGGTACAGGGACCTATGGAGATGGAGAATTGGATCCATTATGTTTTGCCAGGTAATATGTTGAAGTGATCTAAGGGCAAGAGAGCTGAGGGTCTATGAGAGGTAGTGATTATAATGATCGACTGGAATTTCAGCTGAGTTAGGAGGACATCTGAGGTTGAGGATCAGCAGATGGGCATTCCCAGGGGATTGTTGGAGTCAGAATACCACATGGTATGAGTTGGAAAGATAGGATGTGGTGGTCTGAGAATGGAGGAGTTGCCATTATTAGTAAGCTTAAGGTAGGAAGTGTGAGCGGCTGATGTATGTGGAGGACAGGATCATTGGAGCAGAGGAGATCAAGAACCAAAAGACCAAAGTAAGAGGATCAGCTCTGTATACCTAATCACCAAGAATTAAGGTAGATGGCCAGGTGCAGTGGCTCACACCTGTAATCCCAGCACTTTGGGAGGCTGAGGCCGGCGGATCACCTGAGGTCAGGAGTTAAAGACTAGCCTGGCCAACGTGGTGAAACCCCATCTCTACTAAAAATACAGACAAATTAGTCGGGCATGGTGGCAGGTGCCTGTAACCCCAGCTACTCAGGAGGCTGAGGCAGGAGAATCGCTTGAACCTGGGAGGTGGAGGTTGCAGGGAGCCAAGATTGCGCCATCGCACTCCAGCCTGGGCGACGAGCGAAACTCCATCTCAAAAAAAAAAAAAAAAAAAAAAAAAAAAAAATTAAGATAGGAATGGAGTGACAGGGCACTTTTTCTTGATGACTCTAGATAGGGCCTCAGAATCACTTGCAGTTGTTAGTGTAAGACCAGAAACCTGTTCATCTCCAGGTTATTGGTGTGTGCAAATGACAAGGATTAGAAGGTAGGGAGGGCTGCATACACAGAAGCACCAAGCATGATGCAGCTTTTTACACCTGTGAGTGGTCAGTATTGATGGTAGAGAGAACTAGGGGAGAGAAAGGCAAAAAGTCATCTAGTAACGGGGACTCTAAAAAGTGGGCAAAGTTTGGGGATAGCTGAAGGAAATGAGAAAGGAAACTAGCAGGAGATGATGAAAAGAGCGTTGACTATGGCACCAAAGACCCCAGAGGGGTTAGAATCCGTGGATTTACGTGGCACCCCACAGGTTCCCACCCAGTATGTAACAGAGCACTATTCTAGGAGGCATGGAGGATTTAAATTGTGTGTTTGTGTGTGTGTCTGTGTGTTATATATGTGTTTCTACCCACAGAGTGCTATCAGGTAGTTGAAAGACAAGACGTATCTCTGTGAAACAGTAACAACATCGAGTGGTAGTTGTTCTAGAACTTAGATAAGAATGAACATTTGAAATTTCCGTAGGTTTTGGTCTCGGTATTGGTCTGGAAATGGGTTATGATGAATCTACTATAGTTAATATTAAACCCTAGTAATCTAGGCATTGTTACCTTAATTATAGCAGAAAGTATTCTCTTTTTATTCATAGGATTATAAAACAAGAGATGTGACTGACGATGTGAAAAGTATTGTAAGATTTGTTCAAGAACATAGTTCATCACAAGGAATGAGAAATATAAAACATGTAGGTCCTTCTGGAAGATTTACTATGAATATGCTGGTCGACATTTTCTTGGGTAAGTCATCTGTTTTGAATGTTTGAGTTACTTCAATTGAAATTGAACATCTAAAGAATTTATTACAAGTACATAGAAAAACTTTTTGTCTATTTTCTTATAAAACTTGAGTTTCTGAATAAAACTTTTAAGTAACAAAAGAAAGTCAATTATTATACTGTTTTATATAATGTATATGTCACTAAGTTGAGATGGTTTCACATACAAAGAAGAAAATAATAAAGCTTATGCGAGTTCATCTGAGTGGGTGGAATGTAACTATTAAAATGTCAGTAAGGAAATAAAATGAGGATTAGACCCATAACAGCATAGAGAATAGGAGAGAGACTATTATCAGATTAGTGCCTTAAAAATCTCTCAGGGGCTGAGCACAGTGGCTCACACCTGTAATCCCAGCACTTTGGGAGGCCGAGGCGGGCGGATCACCTGAGATCAGGAGTTTGAGATCAGCCTGGCCAACATGGTGAAACCCTGTCTCTACTAAAAATACAAAAAATTAGCCAGGCATGGTGGCATGCACCTGTAATCCCAGCTACTCGGGAGGCTGAGGCAGGAGAATCGCTAGAACCCGGGAAGTGAAGACTGCAGTGAGCTGAGATCGCACCATTGCACTCCAGCCTGGGCAACAAGAGTGAAACTGTGTCTCAAAAATAATAAATAAACAAACACACACAAAAATTAGCCAGGTGTGGTGGTGGGCACCTGTAATCCCAGCTACTCGGGAGGCTGAGGCAGGAGAATCGCTTGAACCTGGGAGGTGGAGGTTGCAGTGAGCCGAGGTCACGCCACTGCACTCCAGCCTGGCAACAGAGTGAGACTCCATCTCAAAAAAAGAAAGAAATGGACAGTAAAGAGGAAGACCAAATAAATAGAATATTTGACCCTGGGTGATAGAAATAATTGAAAATAGTAGTTTGGGAGAGAGGGGAGAGAAGACTCCTTAGTATCGTCTTAAAGAGTTTTTAAAATAAATACTTAAATAATAATTGAATAATGGAAAAGAAATAAAAATGAGAAAGAGCTGTCAATTTTAAATGATTGACAAAGTAAATTTAGTGGAGAGGTTGGAAAATAAAGTCAAGAAAATTTAGGAACTGATCAAAATGATATATGGAAAATAGAGAAAGCATAGAAAGGATTAATCCTCAGTAGATGTAAAATCTGACAAAAATTTTGGAAATAGAAAATAAAGGGAATTATCAAACCAATGATCTAGGAAAACTTCCTAGAGTGGAAGAGATAAAAGTTTTGGATTAAAATGCTCACTGAATGCCAAATAAGATGCCTGTAAAAAAAAAAAAAAAAAAAAAAAAATTAAGACATATGGCCACGAGATTTGAGAATACTAAGAGTTAAAGACATGTCAAAGAGGAAAAACTTTTCCTCAACCCTCTTAGGTTCAGTGATGGGGCCTGCAAATTAAACCAACAAAAAACAGATTAGCAAGGGAAAAGACAGATTTAGTCATGTGTGGATAGGAGTTCACAGAAAAATGTGGTTCAAAGGGGCAGTTAGAATGTGGGGCTTATATACCATCTTAATAGAGGAAGGGGAGAAGGAGGGGGGCACTTATGGAAAAACAAATGACTGTTAGGAAAGACAGATGGACTGTTAGGAGACCAGATGGGAGATACAAAGTTTTTATGACAATGTCTGTTTAAGTGTGGTGTGAAGTCTTATCTCTGTTTAAAAGGGTCAGCCTTCCCTGGTTTTTCCCAGGGAGGCAATTTATGACAACTGAGTTCTTTTGGGAGGCCCTGCTTTTTGGCAGATAAGAGATTTCAGATGCCTTCTGCTCAAAATAATTTTTATGCCACAGTGGCATATTCTGGACCCCTTCAGAGACAATTCTGAAAGCTCTGGAAAGAAAACAGGAACCCAAACCAGACTGACATCAGCTTAATATCAGCAATCCTGGAGACTAGCAGGCAAAGAAAGTGAGCACAGGTCGTGATTTGATAAGTGGTGGAACCCACCCATGGGTCCAGTGAAGAAAACCCATAGTCACAGTCAGGCAGCAGGGCCAGTAAGCAATCTATGCAGACTAACAAAAGTCAGGAGGAGGCTGGGCACGGTGGCTCACGCCTGTAATCCCAGCACTTTGGGAGGCTGAGGCGGGCGGATCACAAGGTCAGGAGTTCGAGGCCAGCCTGACCAACATGGAGAAACTCCGTCTCTACTAAAAATACAAAATAAGCTGGGCGTGGTGGCACACACCAGTAATCCCAGCTAGTCGGGAGGCTGAGGCAGGAGAATTGCTTGAACCCGGGAGGCAGAGGTTGCAGTGAGCCAAGATCGTGCCATTGCACTCCAGCGTGGGCAACAAGAGTGAAACTCCATCTCAAAAAAAAAAGAAGGAACAGGGCCCACCCAACGTAGAGAGAGAGTAAGAAAGGAATGGTTTTATTGATAACAGTGAAGAATGCAAATGTTACTTCTCAACCAAAAAAAAGGAGAGAGGCCCTTAGAAACTCCAGGGAAAAGATTATACAAGAGAGCAAGATCAAATATAAAACAAAGGAAGTTGTGGCCAGGCACAGTGGCTCATGCCTGTAATCCCAGTACTTTGGGAGGCCAAAGTGGGTGGTTCACTTGAGGTCAGGAGTTTGAGACCAGCCTGGCCAACATGGCAAAACCTCATCTCTACAAAAAAATACAAAAATTAGCCGGGACTGATGTTGTGCACCTGTAATCCCAGCTACGCAGGAGGCCGAGGCAGAAGAATCACTTGAATCTGGGAGGCGGAGGTTGCAGTGAGCTAAGATCGCACCACTGCACTCCAGCCTGGGTGACAGAGCAAGACTCCATCTCAAAAAAAAAAAAGTTGTAAAAAAAAAAAAAGTTGGTAAAATGTACAAAAAAGTCATCCATTTGACATGATGGGTAAACATTCTCCTTTTGGTTCCATAAGAGTCATGACATTGTTCCAATTAGGGAAGGAAATTTGTCATCATGTAAACAACGATTGAAATCAACATACAGACCTAAACAAGGTTACAGGACAGAACAAGATGTAAATGTTAATATTGATGATATAAAAGTAAAAGTACAATCGCTAAAAGTAAAAGAAGGCATACAGGGAAGGCTTGGGTACTAATGACATCTCACATGTGGGAAGGGGTAGTGGTCAGAAGTTCTATTGAAAGTTAGAAACATAATTAGTACATGACCCAACAGTATCATATAACTAGCAAAATTCAGAGAAGAATAAAACAAAGTGGGGGTGGTATGAATGAGATAAAACCTCATCTTTCATAATAAAGGGGCAAGGACAATAGATAAATGTCAGGCTTTTGGACAGAAGGCAAGATTTCAGGTCCTTCTGTGTGTAGGTAGCCACCTGAAGAGCTGAAAACAAAAACTGTTTAAAAAGCGATTCCCTTGGGGAAGGGAAGGATGAGTCAGGGGAATGTTGCTTTTAATTATAAACCTTTCTGTCTGGGTACAGTGGCCCATGTCTGTAATTCCAGCACTTTGGGAGGCCAAGACAGACGGATTGCTTGAGCCCAGGAGTTCAAGATCAGCCTGAGCAACCTGGCGAAACCCTGTCTCTACCAAAAATACAAAAATTAATCAGGCATGGTAGCACGCACCTGTAGTGCCAGCTACTCCAGAGGCTGATGTGGGAGGATCACCTGCGCCCATGAGATCGAGGTGGCAGTGAGCTGTGATCCCGCCACTGCACCCCCAGCCTGGGCAACAGAGCAAGACCCTGACTCAAAAAAAAAAAATTGTATTTCAGCCAGCTTTCGTAGTTGTCCTCAGCAGTAAGGTTGGTCCATACCATTCAGCCTATCATTAGCAGAACGGTAGTTCTGTTTCTATAATGTGGCCTTTCAGGGATACAAATTACTTAAAGAAAATTTTGAATAATTCAGGATATATGGCCAGAAGCCATTTGAAATGGACAATAATATAATTATTTGGAACTCTTTAAAACAGAGCTAAAGCTTTACGTAATAACCATTAATTCTGATTTTTATAAATGTCACAAGGTCTCTTAAGTAGATTGTTACAATAAAGTTGTGTTTATAATGAAGACATTAGCAGTCACAGCAGCTTATGAATGAAACAAAGGATCCAGCCAACTGTGGCTCTCGGCTAGTAAGAGAAAGAGGGAAGTGTGTGTACATATTCCTGTCTTCATCTCTCCCCTTGAGCATCTTATAGGGTGTTGTGCTTTTCTTTTAGAATTTGAATAGGCTTCATTAGTGAGGGTGACAAAAAGAATAGACTTAAATACTTGGATTATAAACTAGTAGCAGTTTTGATAACCAGGGCCAGGGATCATATTTAGAAAACTGACTGTCAAAAATTGTTTGTAGCCAGGCTCAGTGGCTCATGCCTGTAATCCCAATACTGTGAGAAGCCAGGGTGGGAGGACTGCTTGAGGCCAGGAGTTAGAGACCAGCCTGAGCAATGTAGTGAGACCCTCGTCTCTACAAAAAAATTAAATATTATAAAATAATGTAAAGAGTGTCATTGGATTGTTTGCAACTCAATGGATAAATACCTGAGGGAATGGATGGCCCATTCTCCATGATGTGCTTACTTCACACTGTATGCCTGTATCAAAATATCTCATGTACTACACAAATATATACACCTACTATGTACCCACAAAAATTTAAAAATTAATAAATACTAGATGCACTTAAATATTTAAAATTTTTAAATTAGGTGGGTGTGATGGCCTGCACCTGTTATCTCAGCTAGTCAGGAGGCTGAGGCAGGAGGATCACTTGAGCCCAGGAGTTTGAGGCTGCAGTGAACCATGATTGCACCACTGCACTCCAACCTCCACAATAGAGTGAGACCCTGTCTCTAAAAAAAAAAAAAAAAATGTAGATAAGTAATGCACAGTTATCCTAATACATAGCACAGTGATAGGAAGCTATTATGGTTTATGTAAACTCTTTCTTTGATTTATTTGCTCCAATATAATTTTGCTGCTGTTTTTTGTCCATGTGTATTGTAAAAAGATAAGGAAAAGTACATACAACCATAGAAATTTTAGCGTTCTACTCAAATACTCTCATTTAACAGAAATGAGTGTCTGTGCCGGGGTTTGTGATCTATTCCATCTGTCCAAACCTGTCCATAAATGACTTTTTAGCCTCTTCTATTTGAGGGTGATGATATACGTACATTTACTCATCTTACTTCCTGTATCTTCTTATCAGGGAGTAAGAGTGCAAAAATCCAGTCAGGTATATTTGGAAAAGGATCTGCTTATTCACGACACAATGCCGAAAGACTTTTTAAAAAGCTGATACTTGACAAGATTTTGGATGAAGACTTATATATCAATGCCAATGACCAGGCGATCGCTTATGTGATGCTCGGAAATAAAGCCCAAACTGTACTAAATGGCAATTTAAAGGTATAGTATTTTTCATGTTTATTTTATTATCTCACAATGAGTGAACCAAAATATATTATTGTGAAGTATAGTGTCTTTGTCCAAGCTTATAGATACTGAATTTATATATACTGTTCTATACGAACATATTCTGTTTTTCTTAAATTGGAAAGAGATCTTAAAATTCAACCCAAGTAATATGACACCTGTCAAAAGTAATTTAATGGGTTATCAGGTCACTAAATCTTTATATATTCATTAAAGAAGCATTTATCAAGAGGCTATTCTATGCTTGACACTGGAGATACAAAGATGGAGAATGCACAGCCCCTGTTCCCAGTGGGCTCACTATCTGCATGACAGAATAGAATTGCCCCCCAAAAATGCAATTAAGCATTAAATAAAGCCCCTGTATGGGTACAAGTGCACATATACCCACTCCTATGATTTGTTTCTCTCTCATAAAGGTAGACTTTATGGAAACAGAAAATTCCAGCAGTGTGAAAAAACAAAAAGCGTTAGTAGCAAAAGTGTCTCAGAGGGAAGAGATGGTTAAAAAATGTCTTGGAGAACTTACAGAAGTCTGCAAATCTCTGGGGAAAGTTTTTGGTGTCCATTACTTCAATATTTTTAATACCGTCACTCTCAAGAAGCTTGCAGGTGGGTACACATGTATCCTTTGTTACGTGGCACAGATTAATAGGCCGAAAGTTAATCTTGCTAGGGAACTCCTTAAGTGATAAATATATCTCAGTGGTTTGTTTCTTTTTGGGGTTTGTTTTGAGACGGGGTCTCGCTGTGTCACCCGGGCTGGAGTGCTGTGGCATGATCATGACTCACTGCAGCCTCAACCTCCTGGGCTCAAGTGATCTTCCCACCTCAATTTCCCAAGTAGCTGGGACTACAGGTACACACCAGCATGCCCAGCTAATTTTTGTATTTTTTCGTAGAGACAGAGTTTCACCATGTTGCCCAGTCTGGTCTCGAACTCTTGGCTTCAAGCAATCCTCCTGCCTTAG
Source organism: Homo sapiens (assembly GCF_000001405.40). Taxonomy (NCBI): domain Eukaryota; kingdom Metazoa; phylum Chordata; class Mammalia; order Primates; family Hominidae; genus Homo; species Homo sapiens. The sequence goes on from NC_000015.10 coordinate 90,804,719, forward strand.
CCTGCCAGAGTGCTGGGATTACAGATAAGCATGAGCCACTGAGCCTGGCCTCAGTTGTTTTAATTATTTTTATTTAATCTCTGGATTAAAATCTCAGAGAAACAATTGAAACTTATTCTTTTTTTGTTTGTTTTTGAGACGGAGTTTCACTCTTATTGCCCAGGCTGGAGTGCAGTGGCGCGATCTCAGCTCATCACAACCTCCGCCTCCCAGGTTCAAGCGATTCTTCTGCCTCAGCCTCCCAAGTAGCTGGGATTACAGGCATGTGCCACCACGCCCGGCTAATTGTGTATTTTTAGTAGAGACAGGGTTTCTCCACGTTGGTCAGGCTGGTCTCAAACTCCCAACCTCAGGTGATCCACCCACCTCGGCCTCCCAAAGTGCTGGGATTATAGGCGTGAGCCACCATGCGCGGCCGAAACTTATTCTTTTTTTTTTAAGGACATCTGAAGACCATTGAATATTAAACTCATTCTTAAGATAAAATATGTTCTTTAACATATATATAGTACTTTGTTATATATGGTATAATGGTACCCTATGTATGTTATATATGGTATAATTTTAATTATAGCTCTGTGCCTATATGAAAAATACATATAATCAAAGTAAATGGTGGGTGCATGCCTGTAATCCCAGCTACTCGGGAGGTTGAGGCAGGAAAGTAGCCTGAACCCAGGAGGCAGAAGTTGCAGATATTTGTATATAACACAGCTAAACACTATAAGGCAGGCAAATAATCGGCACAAATAATGAAGTGATGTCTGGTTTTAGAAATTACAATGATCTGGCCGGACACGGTGGCTCACGCCTGTAATCACAGCACTTTGGGAGGCCAAGGCAGGTGGATCATGAGGTCAGGAGTTCAAGACCAGCCTGCCCAAGATGGCAAAACCCGTCTCTACTAAAAATACAAAAAATCAGCCAGGTGTGGTGGTGGGTGCCTGTAATCCCAGCTACTTGGGAGACTGAGGCAGGAGAATCACTTGAACCCGCGAGGCAGGGTTTCACCATGTTGGCCAGGCTAGTCTCGAACTCCTGACCTCAGGTTATCCCCCTGCCTCAGCCTCCCAAAGTGCTGGGATTACAGGCATGAGCCACCGCATCCGGCCGGATTATTGTAATTTCTAAAACGAGACATTACTTCATTATTTGTGCTGATTATTTGCCTGCTTTGTAGTGTTTAGCTGTGTTATGTACAAATATCTGCAACCTCCGCCTCCTGGGTTCAAACGATTCTCCTGCCTCAACCTCCCGAGTAGCTGGGATTACAGGCATGCGCCCACCATTTACTTTGATTATATGTATTTTTCATATAGGCACAGAGCTGTGGATAATAAAAATCAATGTCCAAATCAGTAAAAAAAATTCTTTCAATAAAAGCACTGTGTCATAGTTTAATTAGCAGAATTTTTTCTTCCTTAATAGTCCATAAAATAACAGTATCTTAATATAGTTGGCATCTTAGATCCAATGAAATATTGTAATGACCAATTGTAATATTGTAATGGGCTGGGGGCCGTGGCTCACGCCTGTAATCCCTGCACTTTGGGAGGCTGAGGTGGACGGATTGCCTGAGGTCAGGAGTTCGAGACTAGCCTGGCCAACATGGTAAAACCCCGTCTCTACTAAGAATACAAAAATTAGCCAGGCGTGGTGGCGGGCGCTTGTAATCCCGGCTACTTGGGAACCTGAGGCAGGAGAATTGGTTGAACCCAGGAGGTGGAGGTTGCAGTGAGCCAAGATCGTGCCACTGCCCTCCAGCCTGGGCGACAGAGCGAGACTCCATCTCAAAAAAAAAAAAAAAAAAAGTCTGCAATGAAGAGCTAGTTTCCTTATGAAGAGATTATGTTTTATGCTTCTTTGAATCTGGATCTAGCACACTGCTATGTCTTTAGTTAATAAATACTTACTGGTCTGAGTTATTTCCATGGGCAGATAGCCCAACCCAGAATTTCAGTAGTAGAGTTCCTGGAAAACAACGTCTTCATATAGTTGGCCAGCTGGGCTATATTACCTTCCATATTCTTCTTCATAAAATCTCATAATCATCACCTTCTCTCTTCTTCATTCCCTCTCCTACGATAATCGGTCATTACAATATTTCACTGACTCTAAGATGCCAACTATATTAAGATACTGTTACTTTATGGACTATTAAGGAAGAAAAAATTCTGCTAATTAAACTATGACACAGTGCTTTTATTGAAAAAATTGTGTTTTACTGATTTAGACATTGATTTTTATTATCCACAGCTGTGTGCCTGTATGAAAAATACATATAATCAAATTACCGTAGGTACTTATAAAAGTTCACATTCAAAGCCTGACTCTTCTGAGTCACTTTTTGACTGAGTCGTCCATGTCTTTGTTTTTCCCTATGTCATCACTAACATTCTCATTAGCCATAAGGCATTTCCAGAGTGTTCCACTATTTTCCCCAGGATTTAATCGAAATCTCTGTTATCAGTTCTGTTTTGAAGGTGGTGGTTTCTTGATGATACCAGAAGGTGTCAACAGAAGGTTGTACATCTCTCAGTAACAAAAATGTAGTGCGGCCTCATCTACTTTGGGCATCTTCTTTCTTAGGTCACGTAAAGCACTTGGTTGTACTTGCGAGAAACTATGGAATTGGGGGCCTGTGTCCTCAGAGACAAATAGTGCCTGGGTTTTTTTTGTTTTGCTTTGTTTTGTTTTTTTGGAGATAAGATCTTATTCTGTCGCCCAGGCTGGGTGCAGTGGTTGAACACAGCTCACTGCAGCCTAGACCTCCTGGGCTCAAGTGATCCTCCTACCCCAGCTTCCTGAGTAGCTGGAACTACAGGCATGTACCACCATGCTTGGCTAGCTTTTTTATTTTTTTGCAGAGACAGGGCCTCACTGTTACCCAGACTGGTCTCATACTCTTAGGCTGAAGCAATCCGCCCTGTCTCAGCCTCCCAAAGTATTGGGATTACAGGCATGAGCTACCACGCTCAGCCAGATAGTGCTTTTCTTAATACCAAATGTATTCCCTGCTACTCTGTTTCAGAACTTTTCTGCATTCACAATCACTTTTTTAATGCTAATCACAGTATAGTCTTTTTGAAGACATGTCATGGCAGTTAGACTCAATACATGAGGTACAAACAGTGCAGTGACTTTGTTGACATGCTGACAGTACTAATAGCTATGACTAAGTTCTCACAAGCATGAGCAGTAACAACCGCAAGGCAGCTGCCATTTAGCCATCAGCAGTTCTAAGACATATCTTGACCTCAGGAATGCTAAATTGTGAAAAGGTGTGTGTCTTAGAATTGATGAAATTTGGTATTTTATGATATGTTATTTCTAGGCGATTAGTGTAGTTTCTTAACTGTCCTCCTTACCTCCAGCTGTGAATGTGATGTACATTTTAATCTTTCAAAACCTAGTAAAACTACAACAGCTTCCCAGATAAAGTATACATTTTATCAAGGGTCTACATTTCTTCCTGCCTCTCCTACTTTATCTTTCATTAAACCCCCTTCATAAACCTTCTGTTCTGTCCACAGTCTCTTGCTTTTCCTCTAAACATGGGAATGATGTGAAAATCACAGATGGGAAAGGATTTGAAATCCACTCTTTGCTCAGCTCAAATACATAGGAATGGTTACTCCCTCACTACCCAGAGCCAGTGCATCAGTCAGTCCTACAGAGCCAGCCTCCAAAACTCACCCAAGCTTGCTTCACTGTGTCTCCACTACTGCATTCCAGTTCACTCCATCCTCACTCGCTCCTGCAATGGCTTCCACCAGGCTCCCGGATTCTACTCTTTCCTTTACAGTCAAGTTCTTAAACAGCAGCCAGGGTGGCCTTTAAATGACAGGCTTGTCTAGCTGCAAGACTGATATGCGACCTCTATGCAGAGGACTCAGCTGGCTGCTTGTTGCCTCAACCCACATGGGGAAAGAGTGGAGGAAGAAAAGTTTGTGCTGGAGGAAGTAACAATTTGGTTATGCCGTCTAGGGTGGGGTGTACAAGTCTGGAGTGCAGAGAAGAGGCTGGAGCTGGAAATAGAAATGCAGCGTTCTCAGTAAAGAGAGGGCACACCAGTCTCAGCTAGATGAGTACTGGCCATGGGAACAGTGGGCAAGAGCAGATCTGCTCCACTCCACGCACATGGCACAGGTCCCACCCTCAGCTTCCTCCTGCCCTGGCTCTTGCCCTTGCTCTGCCCTGGCCTATGCCGCTGGAATTGGATGGTGGGTTCCTGCCCTCTGTGCCTGTCTGCTGCCTCTGAGGTGCTAACTTTGCCTTTTACAAAATTGGCCTGTGTTCCCAGTACCCTGCAGTTAGTTGGCACTTAGCAGACGTGTGCTGAATGCGTGAATGAGCCTGAATTCAGTGGGTTTTCTATGGGTGATAATTTAAATTCCTAATTTTATGCCTTTGCACAGAATCTTTATCTTCTGATCCTGAGGTTTTGCTTCAAATTGATGGTGTTACTGAAGACAAACTGGAAAAATATGGTGCGGAAGTGATTTCAGTATTACAGAAATACTCTGAATGGACATCGCCAGGTTAGTACACAGCCATGTGTGTTCTCTAAAAGCCTGTTTAATGTGAAGCGACGCGTCTCACTGAATTAGAAGGATGCAGTTGTGTGAATGCTTCCTACACCTCGTCACACTGACATCCAAGTCAGCCCCCAGTGGTGTGCCAGTCACCTCTGAGAGGACACTAGTGCTTATGCCCCCTGTGAGTGCCAGTTCTGAACTTACTCATAGGATCCAAAAGGGGACCTTTGGGCCCAGGGGTTGCTGGTTCCCGTAATGCAAGTGCTCAAGGGATCAGAGCCCTGGGTACCAGTTCCAGATCTGCCACCACGTCATGCTGTGTGGTCTCTAGCAGGCCACCAATAGCCTCTTTGTGAATCAGGTTCCTCCACCAAGGAAGGAACATGTTATCTGACAAACATGTCTAAAGATAAAATTTAAGACTAGTGTTTAAATGTTTTGGAGAAATGAGCATGCAGCTAGAATGTTATTATTGTTAGTCATTGATAGAACCTGCCTGAGTGCATCATTATCAGACGTTCCCGGAGTCACGTTAGGCCTGTCCTGTGGCACTTCTAATCATGAGCTTCATCATCATTACAGCTTTAGAAATCATTGACCTGGGGGAAATGAGAACAACAAAGCATTTTGTTGTAGGAAATATTGAGAGCACAGAAGTCTTCTGCCCTCTGATAACATCACCACGTAATAGGACACAACAGACAGGCCCGGTTCAGTGTTCTTCCTGCTTCCAGACAGGCAGTGTGGGGGTCTTCCCAAGGATGATGGAAATGATGAGCAGGATGAGATAGTTCAAGTTCTCTCTTTACCTAGTCGCTTTTTTTTTTTTTGACAGAGTCTCACTCCAGGCTGGAGTTCAGTGGCACAATCTTGGCTCACTATGCCTCCCAGATTCAAGCAATTATCCCACCTCAGCCTCCCCAGTAGCTGAGACTACAGGCATGCACCACCACACCTGACTTATTTTTGTATTTTTTTGGTAGAGTTGGGGTTTCACTATGTTGGCCAGGCTGGTCTTGAACTTACGACCTCAAGTGATCCACCTGCCTCAGCCTCCTGAAGTGCTGGGGTTACAGGCATGAGCCACCACACCTGGTCAGGTTCTCCTAAATTCTTCTATATGGTAATTAGTCCATTAAAAGCCTTGTTCCGAATACATTTTGACAGTGAGCCAGGGTTGGAGCAGCCATGGTGGAGTCCTGTGCCCTCCATGCTGCTCCTGTAGGGTGGCCTGTAGGACAAGGCAGACCAGCCAGGAAATGGAGACTGGGTCCCCGTGTGAGCTATCTATAGGGAGGTTTCATGCTTTTTGGGTGCCTTGGGATGCAAATACTTATGGAAATTACCATCTTCTTTGCAAATGTGTGCTTTCATGCGGTCTCACCTCCCGCATAATATGTGACATGTTCAGCCATATTGTGCAAAGACAAGTTTTTTTGTCTGTAAAGAGTAAAATAGGATCTAGAATTTTCTTATGTTCATTTACTAAGAAACTATTGTTCAAAGATGAGATACAGGACCGTTTGTTTCCCTTATATTGAGCTGATTTTTTCAGCACATTTAAAATAAGTAAAATTGCCTGCCATCTTTATAGCAGTTGATACTTTTTGAATTGCCTACCAGAACTAACTGCCCAATCAACAACAGGAACACAGGCCATATGCGACAGTATGAGCTAAACCTCATGTCTCTAGTTAACTTCAAGACTATCACAAATTTTTTTAATGAATTCTGATTCTCTTTTGTTAAAAATGAATTGCCATTGAACACTTTGGGGCTTTGTGCAGTAAAAAAAGGTTTGGTTCTTGCTGAATTGTTGAATCCATATGGCAGGGAAGCAGCTAGGTATCTGCTAAAATGGGCCCCTGCAGCGTGTCTCTTCATATACACTAAAAACACGTGGACCAGTGCGACATCACCTGTAAACATCTGCATTTTCCATTTGTAGCTGAAGACAGTTCCCCAGGGATAAGCCTGTCCAGCAGCAGAGGCCCCGGAAGAAGTGCCGCTGAGGAGCTCGACGAGGAAATACCCGTATCTTCCCACTACTTTGCAAGTAAAACCAGAAATGAAAGGAAGAGGAAAAAGATGCCAGCCTCCCAAAGGTCTAAGAGGAGAAAAACTGCTTCCAGTGGTTCCAAGGCAAAGGGGTATGTTTTGTGACATCTTTTTCAATATAGGGAACAAGGGAAGAAAGGACAAAAGTGCAACAGCTCTGCCTTGCTTTGAAGGATTTATTAAAATAAGCCATTATTAAATATTGCTAATGGAATGACAGTTGTTAATGGAGTGACAATTAAGGTTTGATCCAAAACAAAAATATTTGCTTCAAGAAACAACAAAAAATATTTGCTTCAGATGTTTAAAACATCTACTGACTAATAGTTATGACTAAAGTTTTCTTTCTTTTTTTAATTTGAGGACAAAGTCTGACTCTGTTGCCCAGGCTAGAGTGCAGTGGCACAATCTCGGCTCACTGCAACCTCTGCCTCCTGTACTCAAGTGATCCTCCCACCTCAGCCTCCTGAGTAGCTGGGACTCCAGGTGTATACCATCACTCCTGGCTAATTTTTGTATTTTTTGTACAGATGGAGTTTCCCCATGTTGCCCAGGCTGGTCTCAAACTCCTGAGCTCAAGTGATCAGCCCACTTTGGTCTCCCCAAAGTGCTGGATTACAGACGTGAGCCACCGCACTCAGCCTGACTAATGTTTCTTGTTTGCAAAGATGTCTTCCATGTTGATCTTCCCTTAGATATTTGTTTGCCTGTTTGGGATGATTGTTCTTCTTAAGAGACTTTTCCACCTACAATACTATAAATCATACACTAGCTGAATAAATAACAAAGGGTTTTGTGTCCTCGTGGCTTTTACTATTCTGTCAGTACTTGCTCCGCTGCTTTTATTGCTGCAGAATCCCATGGATCTCCACCTTGAAGCACGTGCACACTCCCTGCCTTTCATTAACACCTGGGAGAATCGACCTCCCAGCCTTTGCAGGGGTAGCAAGAAGAAGCCACAACAGAGAAACCAAAAGTTCAGTCAAGCCAGGCCTCTTTAGGGGTTGCGTAAATGGCTTCTGTCTTCCCCTTCCCATGTTTTCCTGGGCCGCTCGTCTGGGACATGTCTGTTCTGGGCGCTTTCTGCACACCAGGGGAACAACAAAGACAGCATGGTCTGATATGTGTGATGATCTTGGCAGTTTCCTTCTTTCTTCATAATTGCATTGTTTCTGACAGCCGCTTTTTGATTTTCTGCCAGGGCACCCTCTGCCTTCTGGCTAGTAGGTTAGGCCTGGCAGGAGGGAGACCATTCCATCAGTCTTGAGAACTTGACCCCAAAGTAACTGTATATTGTAACAGAGTTGCTTGCAGAAAAAAGAAACCAAAAAAAAGTCCACAGTCAACTTTTGCAAGCTGTTGTGTTTTCTTTTGCAGTTTTTCTACCTCTTGTCCTTCTGAGTAATAAAAAACAAGAACTGAGTGGGGAAAGAGAAAGGAAGGCAGACATTACCAAATTGTCATTTTCTTGTTAAGTCCATAAACAAAATCTTGTATGTGCTAATCCTCCTGCCAGAGTACCGAAATTAAAGGCATTAGAAAACGTTAGTTTAATTTTGTGGTTTTGAGTGCGCAAGTGATCAGTAAGTGCTCTTCAGTGAGAACATTTTCTTATTTCCATCATTTATTCCTCCACTTTGGGAAATACTCATTTCCTCAGTAACTCACACAGAGCCGGAGACCTTAAAAGGCATCTGGCTCAACACCCAGGGTTTTTGAAGAGGAAGCTTAGGCCTGGCCTGGGGAGGGCTTATCGGAGGACAACCCTGCCTGGTCTCGATTTCAAAGGTAGAAGCGGACACTGGCCTGCCCACACCTGCCCAGAGCACGTTCACTTCTGCATGTTGCCTGTGGAGACTCCTAAAAAACACGCATGGTCTTCCATCTCATCTTTATGTATTAGAACAAAGCAAACCATATTGCTATTGGCTCCCTTATTTAATTTTCACAACTTTTGTTTGTAAGAGTGAAGCACTTTGCAGCATCATCTGGAACCTAATCTGATAAGAAGCAGTAAAGCTCACACTTGTACCCATTTCCATGCTTGTTTTCAGTGAGCCTGGGTGTTTAAGATGGGATTTGTTGTTGTTGTTGTCGTTATGGAGTTTTGCTCTTGTCACCCAGGCTGGAGTGCAGTGGCACCATCTTGGCTCACTGCAGCCTCTGCCTCCCGGGTTCAAGCTATTCTCCTGCCTCAGCCTCCCAAGTAGCTGGGATTATGGGTGCACGCCACCACGCTGGGCTAATTTTTGTATTTTTAGATGGGGTTTCACCATGTTGGCCAGGCTGGTCTCGAACTCCTGACCCCAGGTGATCTACCCACCTTGGCTCCCAAAGTGCTGGGATGACAGGCGTGAGCCACTGTGCCCAGCCAAGATGGGATTCTTTTTTAAGCCCTACCAGCTAAAGCCAGTGCACTGTGTGACTTTGTGTTACCCTTGGAGCAGCCTCTTTTTGCTCCACTCTCCTTTCCACCGACCCAGTGTGCTCCCCGGATTGAGAGTCCCTGTGCAGTGAAAGAATAAATGTGGCTCTCTGCCAGCAACCTCACCTCCCCACCCTACCCTCAGAGTTTCACATCTTCAGAACAACACACAATGAACCAGTTGTGTTCTGGGCTCTCTGAGTGGGAGTAAATGGATGGCCCAGGTGAAATGGAGGCTGCTGTTGGCCGATTCATTCTGTAAATCAACATAAACAGCAGGTTTTCTCTCTGGGCTTAATTTCTCAGCAGGAAATCAGCATAGGGAAACTTCAGGCTGCATCTCTGCCAGTCTAGCAGATCTCTGCCAGTTCTGCAGTAAAACTGCCTTGGAGCCAGAGTTTAAGTCATGGAGCTCCATCAGAATGTCATTACCCACAGGCTGTGGCCCTATACCCTCAATTCAGACGGGAGGCTACTTGTATGCCCTGGTGCCGTGGAATTAGTGTGGGGCCTGACATCAGCCGGTTACAGAGCAGCAGGAAAGGCTTCTGCGGGTAATGCTGCCCACAGCCATCACTGTAAACATGCCGGCCCCATGGTTTTGTTTGTTTTTATTTTACTTAAGGGTGGGAAGGGAGCTGTTATCTTAAGGTCTGCAAGGAAAGTGAGATGCTGGAAGGACTTGGTAATCGGCTCTGGCGGCTTCTTCCTTGGCTTTAGAAGGCAGCGAGTGGGAGGGAGAGCTGGCAGATCTCTGGGTGTAGGCAGGTGAGCCAGGGAGCTGCTGGACACGGTCCTAACAGAAGGCCGCATCTGCAGCCTTCCTGGGGCTTCCTGGGGCTGGCCAGGAAGACGCCCAGCTTTGCCACTCCTGGCCACCCAGCTCCACCCCATGCATGCTCACCCCACAGCTGCCTTGCTCTGGACTGTGCAAGTCCAGTCATTCCGGGGTGCCTGTCAGCAGGGAGCTGGGGCCTTACAGCAAGGTGTTTCACTTCTTTTATTTGGTCAGAATAGATGAGGACATGTGGACCTCAGCTCCTCTTGCAGGCTCTGGTTGTAGGCTGCCGAAGGTGTGGGTGGAGAGAGGGGCGGTGGGTTGGTCACAAGTCAGAAAATTAAGAAACAGTCCTGCACATTTCAGAAAGACAAATCCAGAACAAATTTATATGAAGGGCCGCGGTCCTTTATTCCATAAGTAGTAAAGGAAACTTACCTTACCTAGGGGGCTCGTAGGCAGAAAATGCACAAGGACACATTAGGCCCAGGGAAGTGGTATTGTAGCTCTGTGCAGGTTGAGAGGAAGGTCATTCATTTTTGGTTTCATTTAACATTTTGATTTTTTTCTTTGTCACATTTCAGGGGGTCTGCCACATGTAGAAAGATATCTTCCAAAACGAAATCCTCCAGCATCATTGGATCCAGTTCAGCCTCACATACTTCTCAAGCGACATCAGGAGCCAATAGCAAATTGGGGATTATGGCTCCACCGAAGCCTATAAATAGACCGTTTCTTAAGCCTTCATATGCATTCTCATAACAACCGAATCTCAATGTACATAGACCCTCTTTCTTGTTTGTCAGCATCTGACCATCTGTGACTATAAAGCTGTTATTCTTGTTATACCATTTGAAGTTTTTACTCGTCTCTATTAATATTTAAATAAATGCTGGGGGGTGATAGTTCTTCTTTTTAAAATAAACATTTTCTTTTGAATAAGCATGTTTTGCTGCCGCTGCAAGTGTTGTGGCCGTTGTTTCTCAGAACGTCTGAGGCAGCAGCTGAATCATCTCAGTGCAAGAGCTTCTGAGCATAACACGAAACCCAGAAGCCAAAGGAAGAGCCACGCGTGGGCCCTTGTGAAACTAAAGCTTTTCGTGTAAGACAACACAAACAAAATTTAAAGACAAATGACGGGGAAAAGAGGAGAAAATATATTACAAAGGATTAGTATCCATCATACCAAATACCCGTGAACCAGTCAGAAACATCCCAGGGGGCAGGTGGACCAAGGATGTGAACAGGCTAGTCTCAGAAGAAGAAATACACATGCTCATGGCCCGGCACTGTGGCTCACGCCTGGGATCCCAGCACTTTGGGAGGCCGAGGCAGGTGGATCACGAGGTCAGGAGTTTGAGACCAGCCTGCCCAACATGGTGAAACCCCGTCTCTACTAAAAATACAAAAATTAGCCAGGCGTGGTGTACAGGCACGCCTGTAGTCCCAGCTACTCAGGAGGCTGAGGCAAGAGAATCGCTTGAACCCAGGAGGCGGAGGTTGCAGTGAGCCGAGATCGTGCCACTGCACTCCAGCCTGGGTGACAGAGCAAGACTCCGTCTCAAAAAAAAAAAAAAAAAAAGAAATATACATGCTCTGCAAATATGTGAAAAAGGTCAATCTCCATGAATAAAAATATGATAAAACCATGTGAGACCATTCTTTTGCCTACAAATTATCAACACTGGATAATATCCCAGTATTTGGGGTCAGCGAGAAAGATTGGCAGATTGTTTGGGTGGACGTGTGTGGCAGTTGCTGTAGTCCTTTGGTATTGTGGTGGCCTCGTTTTTCAGGATGCTCCATAATGGGCCAATTGGCCCCAGCATCTTTGGTAGGATTTTGGCCTCTCTTGCCTGAACTCCAGTGGCCCCATTTTCGGAGACATGCGTTTCTCAGCTGTAGGTCACCTTTGTCTGGGTGCCACACAGCGAGGAAGTGGCATAAGACAAAACACACACCTCGGCCTGCCCTTTGTGTGGTGTTACCTGTGACGTTACTCAGGAGAGTGTAGCTGGGGAGACCCTGCCTGTGCCAAAGCCAAAGGTGTGAAGAGGGGGTTGATGGGAAGCCGTGTGGCCTCTGCCTGGGGACTCAGTCCTGAGAGGGACCCTGCACCCACCCTGAGGACCCACCCTTGTGGTAGCACACTGACTTCCTGCCTCCTCGGCTGCCTGTGAGCCCCAACTGCCGCCTGTGGGCTTTTGGCTCCGTGTTTAATGGGGGGGACTGGCCAGGCGAGTTTGCTGAGGGCTGAGTGCCATTAGCACGGATGCGTTCCGGATCTGACATTTTCAGAGGTCATCCTTCTGGCCAGAAGAACCTTCTCTGTGCATGAGAAGTGGAAAGGAGACAAAGTAGCCAGAAGTTGATACCCCTGGGGTAATGTCCCCAGCATGAGGCCACCTTGGAGAGTTGCTGATCCAGCCAAGGCATCTGGCAGGAGGCATGTCCGTTCCACCTGCTGCAGCAGCTCTGGCCTTGGTGGTGGGGGTGGACTCTGGCACAGACAGGTCACTGCTGGGCTCTGACCTCATCCACTCGTTCCTTCTGGAGATGGAGCTTATCCCTCAGGGTCGCAGGCTGTGCCTCCAGGAGCTCCCAGGGCTGTGGGGGAACAGATGAAAATAACGTGCATGGGGCCTGAAGGTGGAGAGCAGAGCCATGTGGGGCCCACACTACCTACAGCCCTTCCCCATGTCCTGGGAAGATGATAGGTTGACCCACCCCTGCCTCCCAGCAAGGAACCTGAGGCCTAGAGACCTCTGATTTGCCTAAGCTCAAATGACCACAGGTGGCAGAGCCAGGCCCCACACCCAACTCTTGAAAACATTCTAGGTTGGAACAGGCTCTGCTCAGTTTCTCAGGACCCGGGAGCAGGCACAGAAAATGCAAGCGGCCTCCTTCCTCCAGCTCATCTTCCAGTCCTCTCAGACCCCCAGGGAAGCTCTGCATTCGCCCAGCGCAACCCCAGGAGGGCAGGAGCAGGCAAACTTTCCCTGAACTGATGCCAAGGCTTTGAAGCCAAAGACCGGTCCATGATACAGCAAAGCTGCTCTGGGCTGGGCCCTGCTGGTGGCCCTCCATGGCACAAATCGCCACCACCTGGGATAGGAGAGGGCACAAGTCCACCAAGGAGTGCCAGCCTGGGACCCATCACGGGCCCATCCTCCCCTAGGTACACGAAGGCCTGACTCTCCCACACTCACTTGCCATCCTTCTGGAGGGCACAGGCAGGATTGGAATCTGGCTCTGTAGCTGCACATATGCCCTGCTGAGGCCCTCACACTACAGAACGCTGGCAGGCAGGCCCTTGCTCACCTCCAGGGACAGAGAACCCACTACTCTCAGAGGAAAAGAACAAGCACGGAGAGCCCCTCACCCCACCGGCTCCATGCCAAGGGCTGTTTTGGGAACTCAGGTAATTCACTTCTTCCATCCCTCCCGCAGCCCTGGGAGGCAGGCACATGATGTTGGCCTTTTTTATGCAGAAACCAGAATTCAGAGAGGTTATGTAACTTGCCCAAATCCACGCAGCTGGGAGGTGGTAGTAAGTAGGGTAACACACATCTCGATTTGCCCTGGAGTCCCAGTTTACATCCATTGTCCTGGTGTGATAATTAACACAGTTTATTTTCATTCTCAAAAGTGCTCCAGTTCAGACAACAAGTTCAGTGGCATCAAGAATCTGAGCTCTTTCCCTGAACTATCCAACCTCTTCTCCCAACCCCGCTTTCCACCCAGAGCCTCAGGGGCCACCTGCTGTCACCTGTTCGAAACTCCCAGCCTCTGCTGCAGGCTCCAGGGACAGAGGCTGCAGAATTATCAGCCAGCATCGCTGAGCTGTGGCTTTTCTCCAGAAGAGGAAGCGGAGGCTGTGGTCCAAGCCTTCTCGCTCTTCTTGAGAAACTGCTGCTTCTCCCACTCCTGCAGCCGTCTGGAACTGCTCTGAGGCCCCGAGGCCCACCCTGTCCTTTGGAGGCTCCCAGAGTCCCAGCCCGGCTCTTTCTCTGGCTGGGAGCTGCTGCCTGGGTGGGGAGCAGCAGGCAGCAGCTGTCAACCTCCCCCAGCCTGGGACCCGCCGCTGGCAGAGGCCTCTGGGCAGAGACAATGGGCGATGGGTCTTCTGTGGCAGCTGGGGAGGAATCCCCAGGGGCTCCAGCAGCCACTTCTCCCTCCGTGCAGCTGGCACAGCCCCGTGTGTCCTCAAAGCCAGGGCTCAGAGAAGCCAGCTGGTGGGGCGCACCCAGGGGCCCCGAGCCTGGCCCAGACCCTGCTAGGTGCTCCAGTTCATGAGTGCAGCAACCACTAGGAGGCAGGGGCTCAACTCTGCAGCTGTGCAGGGCAGACCCAGGACTTCGGGGACAAGCCCCTCGGCATGCAGTAGGCTCCTGCTTTCCAAAACGCACTCACTCTGCTTCTCGGAAAGGCTTCTCGGCTGGCCCACGCTCCCTGTTGGCAGGAGACGAAGGAGGAAGGGAGAAAACCCTCCCTGGTTGGGGTGGGCTGTGTACCCTGCCCCACAGGGTCACCACTGGGAAGAAGGACAGGACAAGAAGGTAGACAGAAGCCCGAAGTAGAGTCCAGAAAGCCCCAGCCATGGTGAGGCGTCCCCGCACAGGCCTGAGGCTGTCCCTGCAGCTAGCCAAGGTCAAGGTCGAGGTTTTGGCATCGCCACACCTCAACTGTGTGGTTCCACGGCCCCACAGAGGGTTCGGTGACGCCTGGGAAGGTGCCGGGTTCCACGGCCCCACAGAGGGTTCGGTGACGCCTGGGAAGGTGCCGGGATCCACGGCCCCACAGAGGGTTCGGTGACGCCTGGGAAGGTGCCGGGTTCCACGGCCCCACAGAGGGTTCGGTGACGCCTGGGAAGGTGCCGGGATCCACGGCCCCACAGAGGGTTCGGTGACGCCTGGGAAGGTGCCAGGATGGCACTCTGATGGTCTCTAGGCTCAGATCTATTCAGGATGTGGGAGTTCACCCCAGAGAGCCTGTCTGTCCCCATGGGTCCCACACACAGGGCCTGTCACACACACAGGCCACAGGCATCTGCCTGTCCTGGCCCCATCTACTCAGTCCCTGCCAGGAGCCACAAGGCCCCATGAAGGTCAGGCCCTGGCACTATGCCTGGGCCAGGAGTGGAGCAGAGAGCTCAGGTCCCTGCTTCCTGTAGGGAAGACTTTCCTTGGTAGGATAGAACCTGGAGCAGGGACTCTTGGGGTGGGAGGTGGCAATGGTGCCCCGGGAACTGCTGATGCGGAGTAAGGGTCTGAAGAGCCACCACTACCAGATCTGAAACCCCCGCCTAGAAGGAAGGACATCAGAGACACTGAGAGACTCCTGGACTTCTGCCCAGAGCCCTGCTCGGGCTCAGAGAGGGGTGGCCCCCTGCGCTGTGGCCCCCACCACTGTGGGAGCGTTGAGACGCTGTGACAGGGAGGCAGTTAACACTGCTAACCTCAAAGATGAACTCAGCAGTCAGCACCAGGGAGATCGGAGGTCAGCCCACGCCAGCCCCACCACAGACACCCGCCTGCATGGCTGGATGTGCATATAAGGACAGAGACCCGTGCGGCCACCGTCGCCACCAGGTCCCTTGCACCCAGTGAGAGCCAGTCTGGAATGGGCGGGACCTGGCCCCTTCCTCAGCCATGGAGTGCCCTTGGCAAGTTCTGTGGCCTCTCAGAGTCCCAGTGTCTCATCTGCACCATCAACATGCCACTTGGTCCTGGCCTCCGGGGCTGCTGCAGCATCCTTTTGGTCAGATATTCCACAAACATTTCTTAACCAGAGCAGAGCTCCAGGCATGGTTCAGCCTTCAACCAGGGCACAGGCAGGGAGGGAAACGCCCCGGGGGAAGGAGAGAGCAGTGTTGGAGTAAGTGGGGTGAGGGTGAAGACCCCAGGGCACCTGGGCCAGCAGGAGTTGGGGAGGGTGCCCAGGAGGCTGAAACGGCCAAGTGACCTCCAGGCTGACCATCCCAGTGTCCAGCCACCCCCGCTGAAGCCACCCTGTGCTCTCCTTTGTGGTCCCTCCTCACCTAGGAAGAGCAGAAAGGACACAGCACCCACCCGCGGGACCCCTTTCCTGAGCAGAAAGTGCCCTGTGCCAGCCTGGCCACCGCCTCACTGTGAGGATATGCACACTCTAGGCTGGGCCACCTGGCTGTATGAGCCCCAGCCCAGCGAGCGGCACAATGGGGATGACCCCAGCACACCTGCCAGGACCCCTGCCCCACAGGGCCTGCCACTCCCTCCACAGGCCTCAGCTTAGGGTCTGTACCTTTGCCCCAGATCTGGGTTCCAGCCCCAGGGACTTGGCACACAGCCGGTGCCTAATAACAGCTTGTTGGATGGATAGATGAGCGGATGGGCGGGTGAGTGGGTGAAGGGGCGCTGCGAAGACATCTGTCTCATTGCCTTCTCATGGGAGGATAAGATAGGAGGAGGAGACGGGGCCTCAGGCTGGCAGGGCCTTAAAATCCTGCAGCCCCACGGCCAGCACCAGGCAGTGGGGACGGAGCCCCAGGTCACTGAAGGCTCCCTTGTTACTTCTGCTGGCTTCATCTGGACAAACAGAAGCCGCTTTCCAGCTGGCTTCAGCAGTTTTCACTTAGATTTTCTTCTTTTTTTTTTTTTTTTTTGAGACAGAGTCTCACTCTGTCACCCAGGCCAGAATGCAGTGGCGTGGTGGCATGATCTTGGCTCACTGCAACCTCCGCCTCCTGGGTTCAAGTGATTCTCCTGCCAGGTAGCTGGGATTACAGGCGTGCACCACCACATCTGGCTAATTTTTGTATTTTTAGTAGAGACAGGGTTTCACCATGGGGGCCAGGCTGGTCTCACACTCCCCACCTCAGGTGATCTGCCCGCCTCAGCCTCCCAAAGTGCTGGGATTACAGACGGGAGTCACCATGCCCAGCCTAGGTTTTCTTTTCCTTTCTGTTTTTTATTTTCGTTGCTGTTGTTGTTGTTTGAGATAGTCTTGCTCTGTGGCCCAAGCTGGAGTGCAATGGTGGGATTCTGGCTCACTGCAACCCCCGCCTCCTGGGTTCAAGCAATTCTCCTGCCTCAGCCTCTCGAGTAGCTGGGACTACAGGCGCGGGCCACCACACCCGGCTAATTTTTTGTATTTTTAGTAGAGATGGGTTTTCACCATGTTGGCCAGGCTGGTCTTGAACTCCTGACCTCTCAGGTGATCCACCCGCCTCGGCCTCCCCAAGTGCTGGGATTACAGGTGTGAGCCACCGTGCCTGGCCTAGGTTTTCTTTTGCTTGTGTACCAATGTTTTTGGCTGGTTGGCGTCTTGTTTGTGCTGAAATAGCAAGCCAGTTTTCCTCACTTTGGAGCTGCATTGTCTATCATGTGAAGATGTTCATAACCACCAGTGTCTGCTTCTAGCTCTTTCCTATCCTTTGTTTCTGGAGTTTACTTGTGTGTGAGGAAGGCTTTTGTGGGGACCAAGGTACATGGAGCAGTTGGGAGGTGAAAGTTTGTCACTGGGTCCTACCTGTGCAGAACGTCAGTCCCAGCCGAGAAAGCAAGGGCCAGGGCAGTAGTTCTCAAACTTGTGTTAGCCTCAGTCACCTGGAGAGCTGGTTGTGCCATGGCTTCCGATGCAGCAAGTCTGGAGTGCGCCCCAGAGGTGTGCATTTCCACCGGGTCTCCTGGTGGTCCCGATGCTGCCAGCCCCAGGTGAATACAAACCACAGCTGCCGAGAATTTTAGCACTGAGGTCTTGGGCAAGGCATTCTCCTCTCCTTCATCCTTGGTTTCCCATCTGCAAAAGTGAGGGAGTAGGGTGCAGTGGCTCACACCTGTAATCTCAGCACTTTGGGAGGCCAAGGTGGGAGGATCACCTGAGCCTAGGAGTCTGACACCAGCCTGGGCAACATAGCAAGACCCCGGTCTCTACAAAAAAATTTAAAAATTAGCCCAGCTGGTAATGTGCTTCTATAGTCCCAGCTACTCAGGAGGCTGAGGCAGGAGGATCTCTTGAGCCTGGGGAAGTTGAGGCTGCTGTGAGCCGTAAGCCATGACCATACCACTGCACGCCAGCTTGGGCAACAGAGTGAGACCCTGTCTCAAAAAAAAAAAGTGAGGGCATTAGACTCCGTGATGGCTGTCACCTCCATCCTCAAGTTGGACAAGACTGTCGGGGTGGGCTGGGGATCTGTGGGAGGGAGGGTGTTTGAGAATGTGGAAGTGGAACAGCCTTGCACGGGAGCTGTTTTCAGGAAAGGGACTCATGACAAAGCCAGGGTTCTAAGCCCCTTCCAACACCAAAGGGCCTCTTAGAGAGAGACTCAGAACTTAAAGGGAGACTCGGCAACCAGGAAGCAAGTAGCAAAGCATCACTCCAAGCAGGCATTTTGCAGTGTATGAGAGGCAAAGGAAACCTCCTTTAAAACTCTGGAAACAAGCATAAACTGATATTTCCCAGGCCCTGCCAGCCTGGGAGTCAAATGAGGTCATGTTACCACCCAAATCTGCCTGAGAACAGAGTCCTGTCTCCCTGCCGGGCCAGGCAAATGCCACTTCAAGATACAGTCCGTTGAGAACCCCTAGACTGGGACCTTAAGCTGCAACGTGTGATGAAGGCTTTCTAGAAAAATGCAATTGCAGGGTTGGTCTAGAGCCCGCTTTTCTTGCCTGGGCCCCAGCAGGATCCAGTGGCCTGAGCGGGGAACAGATTCAAGTCCCAGAACAGGATGGGGGACAGCCTCACCTACCAATTTCCTTTCCATTCTTTTTTTTTTTTTTTTTTTTTGGAGACAGGCTTTCGCTCTGTCACCCAGGCTGGAGTGCAATGGCGCGACCTTGGCTCACTGCAACCCCTGCCTCCTGGGTTCAAGCGATTCATGTACCTCAGCCTTCCAAGTAGCTGGGACTACAGGTGCCAGCCACCACGCCCAGCTAATTTTTGTATTTTTAGTAGCGACAGAGTTTCACCATGTTGGCCAGGCTGGTCTTGAACTCCTCACCTCAGGTGATCTGCCCGCCTCAGCATCCCAAAGTGCTGGGATTACAAGCATGAGCCACCATGCCAGGCCTGCAATTTCTTAGACTATTGAATGGCCCTGGAGTCAGATTGCTTGGGGTCAAAGGCCACTTTTACCACCTGCTGTG
The DNA here is from genome assembly GCF_000001405.40 of Homo sapiens. Classification (NCBI taxonomy): domain Eukaryota; kingdom Metazoa; phylum Chordata; class Mammalia; order Primates; family Hominidae; genus Homo; species Homo sapiens. Next base: position 90,823,646 of record NC_000015.10, read on the forward strand.
TGACCTTCAGCCCTTGAGCAAGTTATTTAACTTCTCTGTGCCTCAGGGAGCTCATAACAGCACTATACTGTGGGGTGGTGCCAGATCTGTCTCATAGACCCTGGCCAACGGATGAAATGAGTTCTCAGACACAGGCATACAGCATAAGAGCAGCTGGGTGACTGCCTGGCTCAAGTGGCCAGAGAGCAGCCCCAAGAAGCTGGAGCTGCTTGCTTTTATTCAGTGCAGGCACAATGTGGAAAACCTGGAGCCGACACGACCTGCAGGTAACTGACAATTACTGTGGCCAGGCACGGTGGCTCACGCCTCTAATCCCAGCACTTTGGAAGGTCAAGGCAGGTGGATCATGAGGTCAGGAGTTCAAGACCAGCCTGGCCAAGATGGTGAAACCCCGTCTCTACCAAAAATACAAAAATTAGCTGGGAGTGGTGGCACGCACCTGTAATCCCAGCTACTCGGGAGGCTGAGGCAGGAGAATTGCTTGAATCCTGCCGGGGTAGAGGTTGCAGTGAGCAGAGACAGTGATACTGCACTTAAGCCTGGGTGACAGAGTGAGACTCTATCTCAAAAAAAAAAAAAAGGTATTGTTCCCCTTTCAGGGAACCTCACACCCGCATGATCAAAGGTCAGTTCCTGGACAACATAAACAAACAAGCCTTTTAAGATAAATTCCCCCACACTCCCTTGTACCTACTCCTTGCCCTCTGCCTCAGGGTTATAGAACAGCTGCCTTCAGTTATTCTCCCCCAGGGCTCTGCAAAACCTTCTGACCTTTCGGAAGGTTTGCATCCTTTCCCTATAGTTTTTCCCACCACTCTGACAGATCCCCCACAGGGTCGACTGGGGGATTATGAAGACTAATAGGATAATGCCTGCTCAGCCCATAACGGAGTGTCTGGATCTCAGTGAAGGTTATTGTACTGTAATACGTAGACACTATATGTACTCATTGTTTGCCGCATATATTTGTGCAGAAGTTGATTGGTGAATAAACAGGACATCGTTTTCACTCAGTGGGTCTCAGCCATTCTCAAACTAATCCTTTTATGGAATCAGTCTCAAAAAAAGAAGCCTTCTTCAGGCATGGCTACACCCAGCTATCCAATCATAATGTAAGCATCCAGGTTTTGGAGCTCTAGAAATTGGCAGAACAGGTAGACAACACCCCATAATATAGGTCTCAATCCAGGCTCTAGGAACCCCTGGAAAATCCTGAAATAGATGTCAGAGGGTATCTAAACCCCTCAAGTGCATGTATTATTCTTGTGTGTCTCTGCAGATTTCTGGGAAAGGGACCACCATCTTTCTCAGGTTGTCAAAGGAGCCAGCAACCCCCGAAAGTTGTAAGATTCTGCCTCAGGGAAGATGATGCAGGCCTCAGCAGGTGCCCTCAACAGCACAGACACTCCCAGGGACACCCCGGGCACCCCAGGCACCAAAGCACTGGGGCAAAGATGAGAGTGGCTCACTCCACATCTCCTTTGCTGAGAGCCAAGCCCTCTCCAAAGCCAAGAGAAAACAACAAAATCGGACGGCAGTGCACACTCAGAAGCATGAAACCCTGGCGAGGAAGCATCATTACAATTAGCCGTGACGACAGGCTGCCTATGATCTTAGGACGCACAGTGGTTCTGCGTCATCACAGACAGCAAGGGGTTCAGGAGGCGGCCGGTCGGCAGCGGACAGGACATGGTGAGAGGTGACAGCGTGCTGGCAGCCCTTGCAGCCCTCGCTCGCTCTCGGTGCCTCCTCGGCCTTGGCGCCCACTCTGGCCGTGCTTGAGGAGCCCTTCAGCCCACCGCTGCACTGTGGGAGCCCCTTTCTGGGCTGGCCAAGGCCGGAGCCGGCTCCCTCAGCTTGCTGGGAGGTGTGGAGGGAGAGGTGCGGGCTGCGCGCGGCGCTTGCGGGCCAACGCAAGTTCCTGGTGGGCGTGGACTCGGCTGGCCCAGCACTCGGAGAGGCCGGCCGGCCAGCCCGCAAGCCCGGGGCAGTGAGGGGCTTAGCACCTGGGCCAGCATTTGCTGTGCTCGATTTCTCGCCAGGCCTTAGCTGCTTCCCCGCAGGGCAGGGCTTGGGACCTGCAGCCCGCCATGCCTGAGCCTCCTCCCCCTCCCCACCGTGGGCTCCTGCGAGGCCCGAGCCTCCCAGACGAGCGCTGCTCCCTGCTCCATGGCGCCCAGTCCCATTGACCGCCCAAGGGCTGAGGAGTGTGGGCGTACAGCGCGGGACTGGCAAGCAGCTCCACCTGAGGCCCCGTGGGGGATCCACTGGGTGAAGCCAGCTGGGCTCCTGAGTCTGGTGGGGACTTGGAGAATCTTTATGTCTAGCTAAGGGGTTGTAAATGCACCAATCAGCACTCTGTATCTAGCTGAAGGTTTGTAAACACACCAATCGGCACCCTCTGCCTAGCTCAGGGTTTGTGAATGCACCAGTCGGCACTCTGTATCTAGTTAATCTGGTGGGGACTTGGAGAATCTTTATGTCTAGCTAAGGGATTGTGAATGCACCAATTGGCACTCTGTATCTAGCTCAAGGTTTGTAAATGCACCAATCAGCACTCTATATCTAGCTCAGGGTTTGTAAATACACCAATGGACACTCTGTATCTAGCTAATCTAGTGGGGACGTGGAGAACTTTTGTGTCTAGCTCAGGGATTGTAAACGCACCAATCAGCACCCTGTCAAAACGGACCAATCAGCTCTCTGTAAAATGGACCAATCAGCAGGATGCGGGTGGGGCCAGATAAAAGAATAAAAGCGGGCTGCCGAAGCCAGCCGTGGTTGCCTTACACACTATGCAAGCTTTGCTGTTTGCAGTAAAACTGGCTGCTGCTTGCTCTTTGGGTCCACACTGACTTTATGAGCTGTAGCACTCACCATGAAGGTTTGTAGCTTTACTCTTGAAGCCAGTGAGATTAAAAACCCACCGGGAGGAACAAACAACTCCAGTACGCGCCGCCTTAGGAGCTGTAACACTCACGGCGAAGGTCTGCAGCTTCACTCCTGAGCCAGCCGCACCACGAACCTATCAGAAGGAAGAAACTCCGAACACATCCGAACGTCAGGAACAAACTCCGGCCACGCCGCCTTTAAGAACTGTAGAACTCGCTACAGCACTCACCGTGAAGGTCTGCGATTTCATTCTTGAAGTCAGTGAGACCAAGAACCCACCAAGTCCGGACACAATGGGACCTGTATGCAGTCTATGGGGCAGTTCAGACCAAAGGGCTGGGCGTGGCACCACAGCTGCCCCGAGCCCTTGGCCTCTCTGAGCTTTTCTCTCTCACCTGAGAAATGGGATTTCAAGGAAAATGAGTAGCGGTAACTTACCCACCTTACTCCACGGTTACTGTGAAGCGCCCAGAAGAGAAGCCATGGATGTGGGCGACGCATTCGAGGTTAGCTTCAGAAGCAGCGGGCGCTGGGTAGCCACATTGACACCCGGTACTAGCGCTTCCTCCTGGGGGTTCCTGGGTCCAAGGGGGTTGTGGCAGTCCTTGCCACAGAGATGCAGAGTCTGCAATGTCCAAATGTGCTTCGTGTGCAGTGGGAGCCTGGCAAGCTGTAACCCTTGTCGTGATTCACGCGTCCCAGGGACACTTGGGGGCCGCTGTGGGCAACCCCCCACACCCCGCTTTTGGTCAGGGCTGTGCCAGCAGAAGGCTGGGGCTGGACAATAGAGGGGATGTTGGGGCCGGGTGGGAGGCGGGAAAGGAGAAGGAGGGAAGTTTAGCAAGGAAAGAGCAGAAACGTCCCAGAGAAATTAAATTTCAGTTTTGTGGTGAACAGCTGGATCCTTTTTCCCATATCCTCACCAAAAAATTCCAATACTATCTTTGTCACCTTGTGTCATGGATCTATTTTGAGCTCTCTCGCGGTTCCTGAGCTCCTGTGTTTAGAGTGCACCAGGCTCTGCCTTCCGGGTTCAAGTCATTTTTTTTTTTGAGATGGAGTCTCGCTCTGTCGTCCCAGGCTGGAGTGCAGTGGCATGATATCGGCTCACTGCAACCTCCGCCTCCCGGGTTCAAGTGATTCTCCTGCCTCAGCCTCTCAAGTAGCTGGGATTACAGGTGCACGCCACCACGCCTGGCTGATTTTTGTATTTTTAGTAGAGGTGGGGGTTTCACTGTGTTGTCCAGGCTGGTCTCAAACTCCTGGCCTCAAATGATCCACCCAGCTAGGCCTCCTAAAGTGCTGGGATTACAGGTGTGAGCCACCGCGCCCGGCCTTGCGATTTTTGTATCTCAGCTCAGCTCTTCACACGAATTCATCCTCACAACCGCAGGGGATTCGGAGGGGTCCAGTAATTTTTCCCTTTTCACAGCCAAAGCAGCTGAATCACCAAGGCCATGAAACGAATGAGGATCTGCCTGATGTTCACCAGGCTGGCCCCTCCAGATCACTGCAAAGTGGGGCAAGATGAGAACAGCGCCAGGGGTTGATGACACCCAGGGCGCCCCAGCAGGACATCCTGGCCCAACTGCCCTCCAGGGTCCCGGTCAGAGGGCCAAGCTTTGCTGCTAGTCATGGCCCAAGTAGCCTGTAGCTTCTTCCCCGGATGGATGTGGGATCCTCCCAGAAAGGCCTGACCCGACCTAATCCCAGTCTCCCCACCTTTTCTGATACTGCTTCCTTACCTGGACCTCTCCACCCGCTGCCCGGCCCACACTCACCACTGGGCTCAGCTCTGCTGGGACACTGCTGCCTGGACCGTGCGTGGATGGGGGCGGGGCGGGGACGAGGGGAGGTGGAGAGGTCACTGCTCCTGGGAGGGCTGGGAGTGGCAGTGAGCCGTTGGTCTGGCCATTCTCCCTCCGTGAGGTTCAAGATCAAAAGTTCCCATGGGAAGGCCACAACCATTTCTTCTGTGAGGCCCGGAAATGATAATGGGTTCCTCATACTAAAAGACTTTCCTGGCCAGGTGCGGCGGCTCGCGCCTATAATCCCAGCACTTGGGGAGGCCGAGGCCGGCGGATCACTAGAGATCAGGAGTTAGAGACCAGCCTGGCCAACATGGTGAAACCTTATCTCTACTAAAAATACAAAATTAGCCGAGCGTGGTGGTACATGCCTGTAGTCCCAGCTACTCGAGAGGCTGAGGCACGCGAATTGCTTGAACCCAGGAAGTGGAGGTTGCAGCAAACCGAGATCATGCCACTGCACTCCAGCCTGGGGGACAGAGTGAACTCTGTCTCAAAAAAAAATATTAAAATTTAGCCTGGTGCAGTGGCTTATGCCTATAATCTCAGCACTTTGGGAGGCCGAGGTGGGCAGATCACGAGGTCAGGGGATCGAGAACATTCTTGCTAACATGGTGAAACCCTTTCTCTACTAAAAATAGAAAAAATTAGCAGGGTGTTGTGGCACATGCCTGTAGTCCCAGCTACTTGGGAAACTGAGGCAGGAGAATCACTTGAACCCAGAAGGTGGAGGTTGCAGTGAGCTGAGATTGCGCCACTGCACTCCAGCCTGGGCGACAGAGCAAGACTCCGTCTTAAAAAAAAAAAAATTAAAATTAAATTTTTAAGACCTTCCTGCTCCCTGAAGTGGGCCACCCTGATCCCAGCCCCCAGGTCTGGAGTCACCATTTCCAGTTCTTCAAACCTGCCTGTTGCCGACATGCTGGGTGACCTTGGGCAAGTCACTTCGCCTCTCTGTGCCTCGAGGCCTCACCAATAGAATGACCCTCACTGGAAGCTGATAATCAAGTCCGCCCACCCACTTGGACATTCCAGGACTGTTCAATTTCAGTGCCATATAGACTTACATAAGCAGGGCTGCATTTCTTTAATTTGAGTAAAATGCAAATGCTCCTGGTGGATGAGTCTGCACTTCTCAACCCCAAGCCTGCTCAGGTGCATCACTTGGGCGGGAGGGAGAGGTCCCACCCAGACCCACGGACCTCTGCTCTTGGGGTGGACAGGCCCTGGAGATTGGCATTTTGCAGAGCCTCCTGAGGAGGGGAGTTCAGACTTTAGAAGGCAGAATGAGGGGCGAACTCCCCAACCCCAATACCTGACCACATGCACAACAATGACAAATTTTTGGGAAAAGAGTGAGCCAACAGGCCAAGGTGGGTGGATCACCTGAGGTCAGGAATCCAAGACCATCCTGGCAAACATGGTGAAACCCCATCTCTACTAAAAATACAAAAATGAGCTGGCTGTGATGGTACGCTTGTGGTCCCAGCTACTCAGGAGGCTGAGGCAGGAGAATTGCTTGCACCCAGGAGGCGGAGGTTGCAGTGAGCCGAGATCTTGCCACTGCACTCCAGTCTGGGTGACAGAGTGAGAAGGGACCTCCAAGGCTATCGTGTTCAGCTGCTGGGGTGAGGAGTAGGGCAGAAGGCTGGGCACAGGATGTTTAGGGGATGACAGGACAGAGAAGACCTGTGGCCCCCAGCAGGGTGGCCTCAGCCGGGGGGACTTTCCCACCCACCTCTGCGCACTCAGGCTACCCAACTGAAAACAATGCAGCCTCAAAACTGCCCTTCTTCGGGGAAGACAGGAAGGTTCCCGTAGCAGAACAAGTAAAACGTCAGGAGTTAGCTAACCGAGCAAGATGAAAAAAACTTGCAACGCCTCCCTACACGCAAGTGCCAGGAAAGGGAAGGAAATCACACAGGGGCACAGCTGAAAGCCAGCAGAGCCAAGGACCTGAGTGGCTTTCTTGGAACTGATAGCTTCGCGCTAGACAAAAGTGAATGAGAATATGAACCAGGTATAAAAAGCACGAGCCGGGTGCAGTGGTGCGCGCCTGTCAGGCCCACCTGCTAGGGGGGCCAAGTGGGAGGATCACTTGAGCCCAGGGGTTTGAGACCAGCCTGGGCAACCTTGTGAAGCCCCATTTCTTAAAAAAAAAAAAAAAAGTTGAATGAAAAGAGCACAAAGAAGAGATGACAGGCCAGGCACGGTGGCTCACGCCTGTAATCCCAACACTTTGGGAGGCCAAGGCGGACAGATCACCTGAGGCCAGGAGTTTGAGACCATCCTGGCCAACATGGTGAAACCCTGTTTCTACTAAAAATACAAAAATTAGGCGGGTGTGGTGGCGGGCGCCTGTAATCCCAGCTACTCAGGAGGCTGAGGCAGGAGAATGGTGTGAACCCAGGAGGCAGAGGTTGCAGTGAGCCAAGATTGCACCACTGCACTCCAGCCTTGGTGACAGAGCGAGACTCTGTCTCAAAGAAAAGAAAAAAAGGAGAGATGACAAAAAAAATATATATATCAGGAAATGCAAAGAAACTGCAGAGGGGAGGAAACGCATTAACCAAAACAGGACCATGACACATCTAAAAACAGAGTTACAACATAGTACATGCATCTGAAAAGCAAGGGAATAGTGTGGGAGAGAAACTTGAAATAATTGCAGTGAATTTAGAGAAAAAGACAAATTAAAACAATTAGAGAGAAAATGACCATTATGGGTCCCAGACCTTCCAACATCAGGGTGACTGCACTCCCTGAAGTAGATTATCCAACAACTGAAACAAAAAGCTATTTAGAGAAAGTCTTCCTGAAACGAAGAACCAACTCTACAGACTGCGAGGGCATGACTACTCCAGGGAAGCAAATTCACAATGACCAACATAGGAACATACTGGCTGAGTTAGTGAACTTTTTTTTTTTTTTTTTTCAAGACAGAGTTTCGCTCTTGTTGCCAGGCTGGAGTGCAATGGCAAGATCTCAGCTCACCACCACCTCTGCCTCCCCGATTCAAGCGATTCTCCTGCCTCAGCCTCCCGAGTAGCTGGGATTACAAGCATGTGCCACCATGCCCAGCTATTTTTGTATTTTTAGCAGAGACAGGGTTTCTCCATGTTGGTCAGGCAGGTTTCGAACTCCCGACCTCAGGTGATCAGCCCGCCTCGGCCTCCCAAAGTGCTAGGATTACAGGCATGTGCCACTGCGCCCGGCCAAGTTACTGAACTTTAAGGATAAAGAAAAAACTCTTCAGGCACCTGGACAAAATGTCATTAAAGAATGGAATGGAAGGCCGGGTGTGGTGGCTTAAGCCTGTAATCCCAGCACTTTGGGAGGTTGAGGCGGGCAGATCACCTGAGGTCAGGAGTTCAAGACCAGCCTGACCAACATGGAGAAACCCCCTCTCTACTAAAAATGCAAAATTAGCCGGGCGTGGTGGCGCATGCCTGTAATCCTAGCTACTGAGGAGGCTGAGGCAGGAGAATCGCTTGAACCCCAGAGGCAGGGGTTGCCGTGAGCGGAGATCGCGCCATTGCACTCCAGCCTGGGCAAGAAGAGCAAAACTCCATCTCAAAAATAAATAAATACATTAAAAATAAAAATACAAAAATTATCCAGGCGTGGTGGTGCATGCCTGTAATTCCAGCTACTTGGGAGGCTGAGGCAGGAGAATCACTTGAACCCGGGAGGCAGAGGTTGCAGTGAACCAAGATCACACCACTGCACTCCAGGCTGGGCAACAAGAGCAAAACTCTGCTTCAAAAAAAAAAAAAAAAAAAAAGAATGGAATGGAATCTATTTCAATTTCATTATAAGGCTAAATGCTGATAGCCAGGCATGGTGGCTCATGCCTGTAATCCCAACATTTTGAGAGGCCAGGATGGGTGGATCACTTGAGCTCAGGAGTTTGAGACCAGCCTGGACAACATGGCGAAACTCTGTGTACAAAAATACAAAAATTAGCCAGGCATGATGGCCAGTGCCTGTAATCCCAGCTACTGGGGTGGTTGAGTAGGGAGAATCACTTGAATCCGGGAGGCAGAGGTTAGAGTAAGCTGAGATCACACCATTGCACTCCAGCCTGAGCGACAGAGCAAGACCCCATCTCAAAAAAAAAAAAAAAAAAAAGGCGGCCAGACATGGTGGCTCACGCCTATAATTCCAGCACTTTGGGAGGCTGAGGTGGGTGGATTACTGGAGGTCAGGAGTTCAAGACCAGCCTGGCCAACATGGTGAAACCCCATCTCTACTAAAAATACAAAATTAGCTGGGCGTGGTGGCGTGCGCCTGTAATCTCAGCTACTCAGGAGGCTGAAGCAAGAGAATCACTTGAACCCGGGAGGCAGAAGTTGCAGGCAGAAAGAGTGAAACTCCTTCTCAAAAAAGAAAAAAAAAAAGACTAAATACTGGGAGAATTATGGTTTTAAAGTAAAAGTGTTACAAACCTTGACAAAATCTGAGCGTGGTGGCTCACACCTGTAATCCCAGCACTTTGGGAGGCCAAGGCAGGTGGATCACCTGAGGTCAGGAGTTTGAGACCAGACTGAACCTGGGAGGCAGAGGTTGCAGTGAGCTGAGATCACGCCACTGCACTCCAGCCTGGGTGACAGAGCTAGACTCTGTCTCAAAAATAAATAAATAAAATAAAATAAAAATAAAAATAAATAAACCTTGACAAAGTAAAAATATCAGCATCAAAATCAGAGCTGGGGTGGGCAAGAGGAAGAGGGAGGATGTTTGAGGGGAGTGGTCGCCTTTTTTATCGCAAGAAATGACTGATCTTGCTCAAAGTGAAACATCTGAGTTTTTACCCCAAGACTCCAATGTCTTAATTAATTTCATAATCTTTTTTCTTAACCATGAGGAATTCATTATGAAGTAATAGCTCTTGTGGAAAGTAAATATTTATCTAAGATTCAGCAAGTTTTCTGGGTTTTTTTGCCTTTTTTTTTTTTTTTTTTCAGATACAGGGTCTCACTCTGTTGCCCAGATTGGAGTGCAGTGGCACAATCATGGCTCACTGCAGCTCTGAACTTCTGGGCTTAAGTGATCCTTCCGCCTCAGCCTCCTGAGTAGCTAGGATTACAGGCGGCACATGTTCCCACACCCAGCTAGTTTGTCTGTTTGTTTGTTTGTTTGTTTGTTTGTTTCGAGATGGAGTCTGGCTCTGTCACCCAGGCTGGAGTCCAGTGGCACAATCTCGGCTCACCGCAACCTCCGCCTCCCGGGTTCAAGCGATTCTTCTGCTTCAGCCTCCTGAGTAGCTGGGACTACAGGTGCGCACCACCATGCCCAGCTAATTTTTTGTATTTTTAGTGGAGACGGGGTTTCACCATATTGGCCAGGCTGGTCTCGAACTCCCGACCTCGTGATCTGCCTGGCTCGGCCTCCCAAAGTGCCGGGATTACAGGTGTGAACCACCACACGCAGCTGACACCCAGCTAGTTTTTAAAAATTTTTTTGTAGAGACAGGGGTCTCACTATGTTGCCCAGGCTGGTCTCAAGCTCCTGGGATCCTCTCACCTTGTTCTCCCAAAGTGCTGGGATTACAGGTGTGAACCATAGCACCTGATCTGCCTTTTTTTTTTTTTCTGTTAAACTCAAGTAAAATAGAATATATTTAGTTTAAAATAGAACTGGTACGGTGCAATCTAATCTAAAATTGTTTGGACTTACCTTTCTCTGAACTGCAGGGGCAGAAGGAGGGTGATCCCTTTTCTCCCCATGTAAAGGGTCATGACCGGCACCTCTATTACAAAAATCAAGTTAACAAGAGAAAAAAGAACAGGCTTATTACATGCACATGAGACATGCAAAATATGAACTCAAAGAGGGGCCAGAAGGTTGAGGAGAGGAAAAATGGAGAAATGAATAGGCTCAGTGCTCAGACAGTGGTTAGCAAATGACTGGGAGCTGAGTGGGACAAGTTATGGGAAGGTGAGGGCGGAACTGCAAAGGAACAAAAGTTGGATTTGTTTGTTTGTTTGTTCGTTCTGAGACAGAGTTTCACTCTTGTTGCCCAGGCTGGAGTGCAATGGTGCGATCTCGGCTCACTGCAACCTCCGCCTCCCAGGTTCAAGCAATTCTCTTGCCTCAGCCTCCCGAGTAGCTGGAACTACAGGCACGTGCCACCATTCTCGGCTAATTTTTTGTATTTTCAGTAGAGATGGGGTTTCACCATGTTGGCCAGGCTTGTCTCAAACACTCTTTACCTCAGGTGATCCACTCGCCTCGGCCTCCCAAAGTGCTGGGATTACAGGCATGAGCCACTGCGCCCGGCCGAGACAACCACAATTCTTTTATTGTTGTTGTTTTTTGAGATCGGAGTCTCCCTATGTTGCCTGGTCTGGTCTCAAACTCCTGGGCTCAAGTGATCCTCCAGTCTCAACCTCCTAAATAGCTGGGATTATAGGTGCATGCTGCTGTACCTGGTTTTGCAATTCTTTTGGAAAGAAACTTTCTTAGTCAGATAAGGAATTCCAGGAAGAGTCCCTCCCTCCACTCGGGGGTAGGGAGGGTACAAGACAAGGTTAGGCAGCTTTGCAGTCCTCAGCATGTCAGAGCCCCAGTCTGGGGTATCACTTTCTGAGCCCCAACCTTCCTATCCCTCTTCATCTCTCCAAACTTCTCTGTGTAGGTGGCATTCCCCAAGGTTAACACGAATAACGGGCTATAGTAAGCATGTACTGAGCACCAGAAGTTTTAGGTGCAGCAGAGAACAGAGCCGATGAAACCCCTGCCTTCATGAAGATATCATTCTTTTTCTTTCTTTCTTTCTTTTTTTTTTTTTGAGACGGAGTCTCACTCTGTCGCCCAGGCTGGAGTGCAGTGGCACGATCTCGGCTCATTGCAACCTCCACCTCCTGGGT